>NC_000018.10:54235907-54536574 GCF_000001405.40 Homo sapiens
AGAGGGCAGATGATTTTCAGCCCCATAGAAATAGCAGAATGTGCAGGCTACTAACTTCGCTTCCTTGAACTAACATTATGATATCATCACCGGATTCCTCAGCACAACAGCCTGTTCTTAACTCAGTTCCGAATGTTTTCTCTCACTATCATCTCGATCACTTCCAAATGTTTTCTCTCACTATCTTCTTGATCAGGCCATCCCATTCTTAGGTTCTTACTGTGCCTTCTCACTTTGTCTTAAACAGATAAAGTCCTTCAGCTGATTACATTTCAAATGCGTCACCAGGTTGGCCAGAACGCGTCGGTTTCTTCCTATCTTGTTTCTTCCACTTTTTTAAATAAAATAGATTTTTCTAGGAGGACACTATTTAACTTTTCAGCACATATCTCCAAGTTTTTTTTCTAGGTACATAGAAGCCCTGCTTTCTGTATATTGTACCATTTTCTTATTCCTTCAAGACATTTTAAGGGTCTTTCCTGCCCGTATACACAGAGATTCCAAACAGCTTTCCTATGTTTTACTCATTAATATGGGCAGCCAGGATCTCCAGGCATTTGAAGAAAGCCTTTAACATGGAAAAACAGCGCAAGAAAAAAAAAAAAAAAAAACACAGCGGAAAAAATAACTTTGGCAGAAACAGAGGAAACAAAGGGAACTGAAGAAGCTTTTAAAAAATCTGATGATATAACATTATTCAGAGATTAACATACTCGGAAGATCCTTTAGGATGAACCAGACAATGTTAGAAAAGAACAATTGGACGGGCGCGGTGGCTCACGCCTGTAATCCCGGCACTTTGGGAGGCCAAGGCGGGCTGATCACGAGGTCAGGAAATTGAGACCATCCTGGCTAACACGGTGAAACCGTCTCTACTAAAAATACAAAAAGTTAGCCGGGCGTGGTGGTTGGCGCCTGTAGTCCCAGTTACTAGGGAGGCAATGGCATGAACCCGGGAGGCGGAGCTTGCAGTGAGCCCAGATCATGCCATTGCACTCCAGCCTGGGCAACAGAGTGAGACTCGGTCTCAAAAGAAAAAAAAAAAAATTGGAGGATAAGGAAGAGCTCTTAGAAATGTAACTATAATAGCATAATTTTTAAAAAAAATCAGTAGAAATATTAGAAAATCGTTAAGAAAATCTCCCAGAAAAGGATGTTAAAAAAAAAAAAAAGGAGATCAAACAAGGAGGTCCAGAAACCTTGTTTGATTTATTATTCCTTGTCCAGAAATAACAGACATTCCAGAAACAAATAGCAGACATAACATAGAGAAATGATTTTTTTCTAATTAAGGAATTTTTCTTGACATGAGTCCTCTAGATTGAAAGGCCCACTGAGAACCCAGCATAATGAAGAAAATGCAATCCCACGCCTACATGCAATGTCATGAAACTTCAGAACATCACAAATAAAGGCCATAAAAGCTTCAGAGATAAGAAAATGCGCATGTAAAAGATTGACAATAAGAATATCGTTGAATTTCTCAACAACACTGAAAGCTACAAGGCAAAGAAACAATGCATTTACAAATTTGCTTTTAAATTATTTTCAAACTAGGATTCTATACCCAGTCAACAATCATCCTCAGAACTACAAGGTAGATCTCAAAAAATATGTTTCTCAAGCACCCTTCCCTAGAAAGCTGCTGGAGGATGTGTTCTACCAAAACAAAGGAGTAAACTAGATTTATGAAGGTGAGAGATCCAGGCAAGAGGGATTCCAGCACAAGAGAGAGGGAAAGAACCCCAGGATGATGAGGAATGAAGCTCTTAGCTGCACAACAGGCCTGAAGAGCAATATTCCAGGTTAAAGGAAGAGGACAGAGGTTACGGAAGGCACATCTCTAGTGGGGAAAAAAAGAGGATTGGTTATCTGTGCTGATGGCTATGTAGAAAATTATATTAAAAAGCTCTTGGAGTGTGTGGGGAAAAGATCGGTGATAGTTACATAGAATACTAAGAAAATTTTAAAAAGAGGTCATCATTGAACTTTGATGAAATTCTTTGATGAACTTCCTTGATGAAGGGAAAAAAGAAAAGAAATATAATCATGGTCATAATATAGTGATATTTTGTAGTATGTAACGGTGGTTAAGTGATTGAATCAAAAATTAGAAAGGTGAACCTACACTAGAGGAAACAGCTAAAAAAGCAGAAATGTGTTACCTCGGGGGAGTGGGACTAAGAAATAAAGAGATGCAACAAGGTACTGCATATTTCCTTTATATACTTCCATTCTTTAACTTTTTGAACCATGTGCCTGTATTATTTTGAATAAAATTTGACAATTTTAAAAAATTGTAATGTGATTTTCTTTTGGTACCTTCACTAACAACCTAATGATATTAAGGTTAATTATCTCTTTTTCCTGAGTGGCTATTACATGCCAGCCCCTGTGTTAGACACTATGCATGCATTATGTTTAATCATCACAACACCATGCAAAGTAGATATTATTATCTTCAGTGTACAGATGAGAAAACTAAGGCGTTGAAAGATTAAATTACCCATCGCTGTTTACCCAAATGACAAATAATAAATTTGAAGTTGAGCCTAGGTCCATCTAGTTTTAAAACCTAGGCTCTTTCCATTACACATCGTGGGTAAGTACAACTATACATTTCTTTATATGAAATTTTAATTTTTGTACGGTAACTAATTATTCCCTGTGTGCACTTTATGTACATTTGAGTCACTGTTGTTTGTGATGGCGTTATTCCTTAAATCGACATTTTCAGCATGTAGCTTAATATCTTCTTCAGGCTCCTAGTATATAGTACTGGAGTACTCTTCCTGTTTTTCCTTTAGCTGACCTGAGGTTCAGAGATTGCTCTCGGCTGTAATTCTGAGCCAAAATAAATTTTTAGCACTGAGTGATAGCTCTGAACTGTTCATGGTGTTTACTGGCAAGTCTGATTGCTTGGTGAAGGCAGAATAAAAATACCTGTTAAAGAAGGAGAGTTGTGTCTAGAAAATCAGAGTCCCTGTAGGCTCAATGACTACAAAGCTGAATATTAGAGCAGCAGTCTTACCAGAGACAGAGAGGAAAGCTTGCTCTTTGAGTGAGAATTATGCCCTCATTCCTTCCCCTTACTCATCTCCTTCATCTATTAATCAGGGAGTTCTAATATAGGAGTTTCATGAAGATAAAAGTAAATAAAAAGATTAAAGCAATATCAAAACATTTAATGAGAAATATTTTTTCTTTAAAAGACATATAAACAGAAATGTTTGCAAATGTTTCTAAACATGCCATTTGTCTAGAGTAAATACATAAGAAGATAACACTTCTTGGAATCTAGTAGCAATGTTTTAAAATTGCTCAAGCAATCCCCCAGCTTCAGCCTCCTGAGTAGCTGGGACCAGAGGCATGTGCCACCATGCCTGGCTAATTTCTATATTTTAAATTTTTCTGTAGAGACAAGAGTTTTGCTGTGTCGCCATAGCAAACTTCTGGCTTAAGCGATCCTGTTGCCCCTGACTCCAAAAGTGCTGGGATTACAGACATGATCCACTATGCCTGGCATCAAACTAATTATAGAGAGAAATGGAGAATTAATAGATGTATGAAAATATGAAAAGATAAATTTGTTCTTATTTTAGCATATATCTTCTGCAAACTTTTCAAAGCCAAATCATGATCTATCACAAAGGAAACAAGTAATTAGTGAAACCACAAATTAAAAAATGATGAATTTTACAGTTTTAAAAATGAATAAAAAATTATATGGTTGCCATATAGATAAGAAATACTTTCATTAAACATTGTTATTTTTCTGAAGAATAGGCAAAACAGAGACTTTTAAAACAGTGCTTCAGGGGAATTTTTTGAGGCGTTTCCCAAATGCATAATTTTTTTAAAGTCCAAGTTTTAGCTTTCTGTATACTTTTCATTTTAAAGCAATCTCAAACTTCCGGAAAGATTGCAAGAACATCTGTTTCCTCACCATTTTAAAACAAAATTGCTAACATGACCTTCTATAACCCCAAATATTTTAATTTGTAATTCTTACAAATAAAGACATTCTCCTCCTTAATAATGGCAATGTAACCATCAAAATAAAGAAATTAAAATTGATACATTACTATGATCCTCAGACGACATTCAAGTTCTGACAATTGTCTCAGTGATATTTTTTGTTTTTGTTTTTGTTCTTTCGAGACGGAGTCTTGCTCTGTCACCCAGGCTGGAGTGCAGTGGCACGATCTCGGCTCACTGCAACCTCCGCCTCCCAGGTTTAGGCGATTCTCCTGCCTCAGCCTCCTGAGTAGCTGGGACTACAGTGACATGTCACTACGCCCGGCTAATTGTTTTGTATTTTTAGTAGAGATGGGGTTTCACTGTGTTAACCAGGATGGTCTCGATCCTCTGACCTCGTGATCCGCCTGCCTCTGCCTCCCAAAATGCTGGGATTATAGGCGTGAGCCACTGCATCCAGCCATCCATCAACTTTTAACTTATTGGAGGTCATTTTATGCTGCTGGCTTAACTCATTTTTGCATAGAGCTTAGCAAGCAGTTTATTGTTTTCCTCAGGTTCTTAGTATAATATTGAAGGACTCTTCATATTGTATTTTTCTCTAACTGAGCTGCATTTCAGAGATTATGCTCAGCTATAATTCTGAGCTTAAAGAAATTTTAACACTGAATGAGAACACTGAACTGTTCTCAGTATTTATTTGCCTGGGAATAAAGCATCTGTGTTAGTTTTCTTTTGCTAGATAACAACTTACCACAAATTTAGCCGCTTAAAGCAACACACATTTGTTATTACACAATTTACATGGGTCAGGAGTGTGGAAATGGCTTCACTGGGTCCTCTACTAATGGTCTTGTCATGGGATCCTTGGGGCGTTTCTTTGCCAGCTGGAAACCTCTGTGGTTAGTGGCGCCTTTGCCCGAGTTTTGCTCTGGCCCACTGGGCTTGTTCCGCCCACTCGGCCTGGCAGGCTGCGCTCAGCTTCCACTACCAGCCTGGATCCCATGTCTGCCAAGGGTGAGCCAGGCAAGGAGCAGTGAGGGGTTTGTGAGCAAGCGTGGGGTCTGGTCACTGCGCATAGCCAGGCATGCTGGCTGCAGTGGGGCGGGCAGCTCCAGGCCCAGCACAGGCACCGGCTCCCTGCGATGCTGCAGCTAAACCAGGTGTACCATAAGCAGCTTCCACAGCTGACACCGGGGAATGCAGTGGTGCCCAAAAGCTTGGAAACACCAGGAACCATAGATCCCTAAAGAGGGTGTCACAGCCCCAGCTTGGGGAGCTTCTAGGTCTGGGATCCCTGAAGGGTTGCAGCTGTTCTCTGCTTCTCTCTTCTAGTCACCCTCAATGTGGCGAACAAGGGACATGTTTCAGCCCTGCTTGTGTTACAGCTCTTTTTAGCCCTGCCATTCAGCGGGTCCTGAGTTCTTGTCCTGCATCCAGGAAGAATGAGGTATGCAGACAAGTGGAGGATAAGCAAGACAAAGAGGAGCTTTATTGAGTGATGGAACAGCTCAGAGGAGACCCACAGTGGGTAGCTCCTCTCCATAGCCAGGGTGCCCTGATGAGTGTTCAGCTCTCAGCAGAGAGGGTAGCTCCTCTCTGCTAGGCAGATTTTCCCTGTGAGTGCTCAGCTCTCAGTAGAGAGGGTACCTCTTCTCTACAGGCAGGTTATACCAATGAGTGTTCAGCTCTCAGCAGAGAGGGTAGCCCCTCTTGGAAGCTGGTTGTCCCGTGTCTCTCCATCCTCACCTCAAGTCTAGCTGAATGAGGTGGGGGTATGGGCCTCAGGGGGAGGAAGTGTGGGCTGATTGGTCTATGGGTGGCCATGGGCGGGCCCGGGTCAAAGCACCACAAGTTCCCACTCTGGCCCCAGGGATGGGCAGCCTGGCCCCCAGGCTTCAGGCCCAATGGGCTTGAAGGTGGCGCTTCACCAGGGACCCACCCCCTTCCATCCAGGAGCCTGTCTGCCTCCTGCCATTGTTCATGATGCCCAGGCTGTTCATGCCAAGGGCCGCCTGCAGGCCAGTGCTGGGCTGTCCTCAGTACCCCCTTGGCCTCTCTCTCATGTTTGTCGGCACCCAAAGTCCGGAGGGGTCTGAGATGGCAGGTGCTGCTGTGTCAGCACTGCCCCAAGCCTGTGCACACCCTGCCAGGCTGCAACAGCACTCGGGTTCAGCCCCAACTTTGCTTCAAGATTGGATTGGGCAACCGGAGTGGGAGCCAACAGTGGGGAGAAACCAGACAGTGGGAGCAGGCACTTCCAAGCCTGCAAGGGAAGCGGCGGCTCCCTGGGTCCCCAAGAGTGCAGAGATCCCTGGGCCCATAGCCACAGCTTTTGTGGCTGCAGCTGTGCCTGGGAGGGTAGAGCTCCTGCCTGCTCCTGGCTCCCAAGAGCACAGGGGTACCTGGGTGGCAGCCGTGGCTTGGGCAGCTGCCGTTGGGCCTGGGGAACTCCTGGCTCCCAAGAGAACAGGGGTGCTCAGGTCACAGAAGGCTTGAGCGGCTGCAGGCGCACCTGGGGAGCTCCTGCCCCACCAACTCAGAAGCGGCGCAGCTTCCACTTGTCCCCGGCTCCAGCAGGCTCAGTGGAACCCCGTGCAGCCCTGGCGGTGCCTTCTCTTCACGTTTTCCCCGCAGTGCGTTGGCCCCGGCCATCCCCACACAAATGAACCCAGTGCTTCCAGGGCTGGCCCTGTGAGTCCCGGCTGCGCCCTCAGCTGGGTGCTCGTGGGCTCCTGGGATGCAGCGGGCAGTGAGGTTGAGGTCACGGTGGAGGCTCCAGACCTGGGAGCAGGTCCTGCCCAGCTGTGCGAGGTAGGGGTGGCACATTTGGCTGCGTCGGAAATGCGGGGCACAGAGCACCCACCGCCACTACTGCTGCTCCCACAGCCACCGCTGCTGCCACTGCTCGTGCCTCCCTGCTGCAACCAGCATGATGGTAGCAGCCGCTCTGGACGGCCTGCCATTGCCATCAGTCTCATTTCTGAATATTATGCTCTTGGGTGTATTGAAGGTATTGACAAGGGCTACAGTCTCATCTGAGGCTCAGACTCCTCTTCCAAGCACATGTGGTGGTTAGCACAGTTCATTCCTTGCAGCTACCGAACCCCCTTTTTTGAGCCAGGATCTCACTCTGTTACTGGGGCTGGAGTACAATAGCACTATCACAGCATACTGCAGCCACAACCTCCCCGGCACAGGAGATCCTTCTGCCTCAGCCTCCCGAGGAGCTGGGACTACAGGCACAGCCACCACATCCAGCTAATTTCTGTATTTTTTGTAGAGACAGAGTCTCACTATGTTGCCCAGGCTGGTCTCAAATTCCTGCACTCAAGCAATCCTCCTGCCTCAGCCTCCAAATGTTCTGGGATTACAGATGTGAGCCACTACATCCGGCCAGCTAGCTATAGAATTCTTGATGGTTTGTTTCTTCAAGACCTGCAGGAGAGCCTCTGACTTCCATCTGGATACCCTTTGTTGAAAGGGGTCATCTGGTTAAATCAGGCCCACTAAGGATAATT
Organism: Homo sapiens; assembly: GCF_000001405.40. Classification (NCBI taxonomy): domain Eukaryota; kingdom Metazoa; phylum Chordata; class Mammalia; order Primates; family Hominidae; genus Homo; species Homo sapiens. The sequence goes on from NC_000018.10 coordinate 54,243,407, forward strand.
TCCCTTTGATTAACATAAAGCCAACTAACTGGGGACCTTAATTACATCTGCAAAATTTCTTTACCTTTGCCAGCTGACATAATGTAATCACAGGAGTGATAGCCCACCACTTTTGCCATATTCTATTCGTTGAAAGTTATTTAAAGGTTCTGCTCACACTCAAAGGGGAGGGGAGTATACAAAATCTATAGCTTTTCAGGGTCACACGTACGATTCTGACCACCACAACTTTTCTACCATCTGGATTAATATATTTAAAGTGTTTGGTTTTTTTTGTTTTGTTTTGTTTTGTTTTTTTGAGGCGGAGTTTCATTCTTGTTGCCCAGGCTGGAGTGCAATGGCGCGATCTCGGCTCACCGCAACCTCCGCCTCCCTGGTTCAAGCGATTCCCCTGCCTCAGCCTCCTGAGTAGCTGGGATTACAGGCGCCCGCCACCATGCCCAGCTAATTTTTGTATTTTTAGTAGAGACAGGGTCTTGCCATGTTGGCCAGGCTGGTCTTGAACTCCTGACCTCGGGTGATCCACCCGCCTCAGCCTCCCAAAGTGCTGGGGATTACAGGTGTGAGCCACCGAGCCTGGCCAAAGTTTTTGTATTGCTTTAATGGTTATTGACTGTTCTGACTTAGCTTTTTGTTTTTTCTCGTCAATTTTAATTTAGGTTTTTGCATGTCTGAACACATAAAATTGTACAACTAAAAACACTCTTAGAACATGTGGGTACCATTGTGAATTATCAGTAACAAGTAAATGTACAGCATATTGAATTGTGATGTTTTCACATTAGATCAGTTTGACATTTATTTTAAATTTTTGTGTTTCTTCCCCGAAATTTTTTATAAGGAATGAAATCAATTGTTAGATATCCTTAGTAATTCAATTTAGAGGCAAATATTTGTTGTCATCCTCTCAAGCTTCTGAATCAGTTTAATTGAAGAGTATACTCAGTTTTCAACTGGCACTGGTGAAAAAAAAGAAAAAAAAAAGAGAAACAACCACCACCATTTGGAACTTCTTGTTTGTGTGAATCTGGAATTTCACACAGACAAGATATAGAAATGAATGCTGATGCTGATACATCACCAACGGTCATCCACAAACTCTCCTTGGGAAATCGTGTGGCCATTATTCTCTAGTTACATTATTTTTATTAAGGATTACAAAGTAAATACATAGTCATAAAATTATTCTGTTATGCACAGCGGGGTGGTGATTGAGGTGTGTGTGTGTGTTTTTTTTTGTTTTTGTTTTTGTTTTTAGATGGAGTCTTGCTCTGTCGCCCAAGCTGGAGTGCAGTGGCGCGATCTTGGCTCACTGCCACCTCTGCCTCCCGGGTTCACGCCATTCTCCTGCCTCAGCCTCCCGAGTAGCTGGGACTACAGGCACCCACTACCACGCCCAGCTAATTTTTTTTTTTTTTTGTATTTTTAGTAGAGATGGGGTTTCACTGTGTTAGCCAGGATGGCCTCGATCTCCTGACCTCATGATCAGCCCACCTCGGACTCCCAAAGTGCTGGGATTACAGGTGTGAGCCACCGCGCCCGGCCTGAGGTGGGTGTTTTGAGTGAGATTTTGGAAATTTTGCTTGACTAAAGGGTCTGTTGCCTGAAAAACATTTGAAAGCCACAAAACAATTTGAGCAATGATAGTAGTGTATTGGGAAGCCTGGACCTGTAGCTGGTAAATGAATCTAAGAAATTCAGGAGTCTCATCAAGTAATAATTACATTCAATTCCTCCTTCGATTACAGCGCTATTTTATAATTTGACCATATCTACCTAGTCTGATAACAGGACTGCTGACGTCACCTCTTTAACCTACAGGTTTTTTGAACCCACTTAGGATCACATTCATATTCTCCTACAGTGACACATGATAACCCATCTTGTGTGGCTGATTAAGCCATACATCTGAATAAATAACTCTCCTACCACCAAGAGCTGACTATATGCATTTTATCAGACAAGGTCTAGTCTTGACTGTCAGCTATAGTTTTAGTCAACTGTAGGCTTCAAGATGTTCATGATACAATTTTCCAAACAGAGAAAACAAAGTAGATTCCTTGGTATAAGTGACAAAGATTCCTCCTCTGCAATGGGGCCAGGAAAGGACCTAAATTGAAAGATCCTGAAGTGCTAGCTTTTTCAATGTATTTTGTTGTTGTTGTTTTCGATTTTATTGAGGTATAATTGAAGTACACCAAACCAAACACATTTAAAGAGTACAGTTTGATCAGTCTTAACATATATACATACCATAGTCAAGGTAACAAACGTTTTCATAAGCCTCAAGTTTCCTTTGCCCCTTGGCAATGCTTCCCTGCCTCCAACCCCTTCTCCAGAGAGCCACTGAGCCTTCTGTAACCATCGATTAATTAGCATGTTCCAGACTTCTACATAAATGGCATTATACAGTACGTACTTTTTTTTTTTTTTTTGGCCTGACTTTTTTCATTCAGCTACTTTTTTTCTTTCTTTCTTTTCTTTCTTTTTTTTTTTTTTTTTGAGATAGGGTCTTGCTCTTTCACCCGGGCTGGAGTGCAGTGGTGCAATCACAACTCACTGAAGCCTTGACCTCCCAGGATCAAGTGATCGTCCCACCTCAGCCGCCTGAGTAGTAGCTGGGACTGCAGGTGAGTACCACCATGACTGGCTAATTTTTTCTGTACAGATAGAGTCTCACTATGTTGCCGAGGCTGGTCTCCAACTCTAAATCCTGGACTCAAGCAATCCTCCCACTTCAGCCTCCCAAAGTACTGGGATTACAGGCATAAGCCACAATGCCAGCCTTCATTCAGCAACTTATTTTAAGATTTATCCATGTTGTGGTAAACAGTGAACATCAATACTCTGTTCCTTTTTATTGTTGAGTAGTATTTAACTACATGGTTGTACCACAATATATCTATTCATATATTGATGGACATTTGGATTGTTTTTGACTATTGCTAAAAAGCCTGCAATGAATATTTGCAATCTTTATACAAGCATATGTTTTCATTTCTTTTGGATAAATACCTAGAAGAGGAATGACACATAATAGATGTATATTGAACTTTTAAAGAAACTACCAACAACTTTCCACAGTCACTGCACCATTTTGCATTCCCACCAACAGTGTCTAAGTGTTCTAGTTGCCCCATATCCTCATCTTCATGTGGTAGAGTCAGTTTTTTTTTTTTTTTTTTTAAAAGAGTTGAGACTTTCCTGAGGCAGGAGAATCACCTGAACCCAGGAGGCAGAGGTTGCAGTGAGCCAAGATCATGCCACTGCACTCCAGCCTCCAGCCTGGGCGACAGAGGGAGACTCTGTCTCAAAAAAAAAAAAAAAAAGTTTAGCCTTTCAGTGGGTGTGTGTATTGGCATCTCATTGTGATTTTAAGTTACATTTCCCTGATGACTAGTAATGTTAAGCGTCTTTTCAGGGCCGGGTGTGGAATCCCAGCACCTTGGGAGGCCCCAAGGTGGGCAGATCTCTCGAGCCCAGGAGTTCAAGACCAGCCTGGCCCACAGGGCAAAACCCTGTCTCTACAAAAAATCAACCTAAAGAGGGGATAGTTTTTAAACCCTTTTGGTCTTTACCATTTGAATAATGAAGAGTTCTGTTCTCCTCTTTCAGAGACGCTGTATTTACACACACACACACACACACACACTCTCTCTCTCTCTCTCTCTGTCTCTCCACAGCCCCACCCCCCATCTTTGTTCTTCCCCAAGGCAAGAACAGATGTTTATTTAATTAGTGAAAGGAGGAGAGTCTGACAATCGTAAGGCTATTGTGGGGTTAATGGTGCTGTGGCCCAGCCTTTAGAATCCTTTCTGGGTTTCCTCCCCCGAGGCATTGTGGGCTGACTCTGCTTCAGGTTCTCATCAGTAAGCTGGCAGGTGTGTTCGGCCTCCTGCAGGCCCCGACAGGCCTTTGTTCTCTCAGAAGCAGCTTCTCACCCTGCCACTAAGTGGAAGAATCAGGTTTGCTGTTCACATGGGGCTCTTCATTTCCAATTCACCATGGGTAGAGCTATGAGAGATGTAGGAAGGGGACCTCAGGATAAAACTTCTTTTTCCCCTCCATAACCACTTTTACTGCTAATAAAGTTGAGAATCAAAACATTTTTTACCTTCTTGGGTCTATTTCTGAGTTAGTAGAATCTGGAGGGGATTTTAACTATGGCTTTGAGATTAAAAAACAACAACAAAAATAAAACGCTGTGATTGACTTATGTAAACACATGGCTGTTCTGTTCCCTTCGTGGCCGACTTGCTCAGCTCAGCGGAAACGCAGTTAATGAAGAACTCTGTTTGTTGTCCCACCTTCTTTGCAGATGTCTTCAAGATCAGACTCCCTCCTGTCTCGTTCAATACTTAAGTATTTAGATACCTTGTAAAAAGCCTGGGTGTTACACAGGCATTTGCTGAGACAGGAAACAGAGGAAAGCATAAGTCAAAGAAACAGTAAATTTCAAGGCAGAAAGGGCTGATTCAAAAGCATTAAATAGAGCTATAGTCTGATAACATGATGCTAACCTGAGAAGCTCAGAAATTTTTCCTTGAAGAATTGATAAAGGTGACTCAGGGAAAATACCAGAGCAGGTATGGATGCCAGCAAATCTGGTTTGTTTCAAAAGCAGACGACGTCTCCTTTAATTTACTGAGTTAAAAATGCATATAATATTTTTATGGCATACATTTTCCCCTTAAAACTGTATATTCTTTGTGATCATGATCTTAGCAATAATAGTTTTGCCAACCACAGTCCCGTTCAGGAACATAACCTCTATAATTGATGAACATGTTCCTTTTAGATTTGTGCGTGGGGGGGGGTAAGGGAATCATTAAATATAAAAATAAAATAATTTAAATGTTCTGATTGAAAATCATAAGCTGGAGGCACATCCAAAATACCCATGGGTGTTGGAACAATACTGTCTTTGACATTATAAAATTATAAATTATATCAACATTATAAATTATATTGATTCGTTCCTGAAATTTTCTCCAGATATTTAAAAACAGATCAGTAAAAACCTCAAAACTGACTTTATCCTTCTAAAGTTTAAAATTTCATGACTGGCCGGGTACAGTGGCTCACACCTGTAATCCCAGCATTTTGAGAGGCCGAGATGGGTGGATCACCTGAGGTCAGGGGTTGGAGCCCAGCCTGGCCAACATGGCAAAACCCCGTCTCTATTAAAAAATACAAAAATTTGCCAGGCATGGTGGCACCCACCTGTAGTCCCAGCTACTTGGGAGGCTGAGGCAGGAGAATGGCTTGAATCCAGGAGGTGGAGATTGCAGTGAGCCAAAGTCACATCACTGCACTCTAGCCTGGGTGGCAGAGTTAGATTCTGTCACGGAAAAAAAAAAAAAAAAATGTTATGATTAGTTAGCCAGCTAGAGGTACAAACTCACACGAGGCCATCTGAGAATTCGATAATTTTTAGTGTTATCATAAATTTATTACCTATAAAAGTATCTATAAAATCCTGGATCTGGCCATTCAAACCTTCCCTGACAGTAGGGTTAATCTGGTGTTTGAGATTATGAAGGTTCTATATCTGACAGACATTTTGGAGGCCTTTTCAATTCTATCATCTTAAGACAACTGCCTTGAACTCTGTAAACTGCAGTCTTTTCTCTGATTGAAGTCTACTAATATCTCCTTATATAATTCAAGTGAATAAAAGGTTTGAATTAAATAGGGCATACAGTAAAAGACTTTTGCTATCAGAACAGTTCAAAAACCTTTTCAGATTTGTGGACTTCAAGTCTTGCCAATCTTTTAACCTACTTATATTCAATCAATGAGATCTGTTTGAATGCACTAAAGAGTAGATTCAACCCAATGTCAAAGAGAATATTCTTCCAACACCTAACACTATAGACAAATTAATTTGTTGCCTATTTCATCTACTAGTTATGACAGCATCCTCTTCAATAATTGCAAGTCTAAATTTTCAGATCAATACTGAAATGGGTTTCAGGCATGACTATTCTGCTATTAACCTGTTATACTATTTTAACATCTTATAATGAAGTCAATTGAAAAAAGATAATATTATTGGCAGCTTTTATTGGCCACTTACTGACCTTGAACTAAAGGTTAATCTGTACAAGCTCAATATAGATCCTGGTTGTTGACACTTTTATAAAACCTGCACTTCAGTGGACAAGAATAATGTCCTGGCATATTTCAAATAATGTCCTGGCATATTTCAAATAATGTTAAATATAATTCGAAGCCACCTACAATTCTTGTGTATTTTCTTTAAATAATCTAGCTTTTTCTAAATTTTATATTTATTTAAACTCTCTACAGTGGGTGCTTAAAAAAATAGTTGGCTCTTGTGTTTGTGTTCTTTACAATATCAAACCATGATATGGAGAGGATAAACTTGAGCCACCAAGAAGTGGACTCTGCCTAGGAAGACAGTTTGCTGAAGTTAGAAAGTACTGGTCTAGGAACCAGAAAACCTGATTCTGCCCAAGAGTTAGAATTGTGAGTGAGTTCTTTCTGGTTTTTAGTTTCCTTATCTGTAAAATAATTACCCAGTTCAATTGGATAATCTCTATGATCCCTTCCACATTCTGCATACTTGGATATCTACTGTTTCTAAATATTTTGGCATTTCTTATAAAGCCCTTTCACATTTACTTTATTATTTTTTCCTCACAAGAATTCCTGAAATAGATAAGGCAGAAGTTTAGAGGATAGATAGGTTGGGTATCATTTTAGATGTGGTAACTAAGGTTACGGGAGATTAGGTGTGATATGATTTGGCTGTGTCCCCACCCAAATCTCATCTTGAATTCCCACGTGTTGCAGGAGGGACCTGGTGGGAGGTAATTGAATCATGCGGCAGGTCTTTTGCGTACTGTTCTTGTGATAGTGAATAAGTCTCATGAGATCTGATGGTTTTAAAATGGGGAGTTTCCCTGCACAAGCTCTCTTCTCTTGCCTGCTGCCGTGTGAGACATTCTTTTCACCTTCTGCCATGATTATGAGGCCCCCCCAGCCACATGGAACTATAAGTCCCTTAAATCTCCCTTTCTTTTGTAAATTGTCCAGTCTCAGATATGTCTTTATCAGCAGTGTGAAAATGGACTAATTCAAGGTGATTGGTAAAAATTACCTATCTGGGGACTGGAGCAGTGGCTCACGCCTGTAATCCCAGCCCTTTGGGAGGCCAAGGTGGGCAGATCATGAGGTCAGGAGATTGAGACCATCCTGGCTAACACGGTGAAACCCCGTCTCTACTAAAAATACAAAATTAGCTGGGCATGATGGCACACACCTGTAGTCCCAGCTACTCAGGAGGCTAAGGCAGGACAATCCCTTGAATCTGGGAGCCAGAGGTTGCAGTGAGCAGAGATTGCTCCACTGCACTCCAGCCTGGGTGACAGAGCAAGACTCCGCCTCAAAAAAAAAAAACAAAAATTACCTATCTGGTAAATAGCAGGACTGGAACATAAACTCAGATCCTCTGATTCCAGCAAATTTCTACATAGGCCACAAAAACACACACAACAGGAAGTATAACTGCTTGGAATCATTAGTTATATGCATGAATTACTTCTAAAGGAAGTGATACTTCCTTTAACTACTGAAACTACACTACACTTAAACTCAAAGTTAATAATAGAAATAAAAGTAATAAAATAACCAGTGCTTTATTGTAATATGAATAGGAGGGTAATTACAATGGTTTGGAAAATAACAGCTGAGCTCTGAGGGTTAGGTTTGAGGCTACAGTGTGGAGCACAGTTATGATTCAGTTATGACTCCCCCCTTACCGGAAATGTACCGAAAATGTACAGAGGTGTTTGGAGAAGCAAAGCTATGAGGAAAGAGGAAAAACTGGGAAACCCTCATTACATAGCTAGGTGAAAATTAATGAGAAAACTAATGGCATAAAAACATTTGAAAAGCAATAGCATATGAGAAACATATCATGTATCACGTTGGATAAAAGTAAGACTAGGAGAGGATATAAACTTGATGGTTAGATCGCAGTAAAAACAAAGTTTGTGCCTACAGAATTACAGCTTTAAAAAGTGATAGGACACAAGAAGCACACACTGAAATACCAAGGAATAAAGGACATGATGTGCAAAATGTATTCTGAAATAGTTAAGAAAAAATAATTGTGTTTGTGTGTGTGTGTGTTGTGTGTGTGTCTCAAAATGTTAAAGAGTGATAAATCTGGGTAAAGGATACATGATAGTTCTTTCCATTATTCTTAAAATTTTTCTGTAGGTCTGAATCATTTCAAAATCAAATGTAAAAGAAAAAAGCAGTGATAGGAGCACAGCCATTAAGCCATTCAGCAATGTTACAAGACTTTTAATAGAGCTGAGAAGAATTTCATGATTTCATGTAGTATTTCATACACAGATCAGTGGACTTGAATTCTGGTTCACATTTGTCCTCTAAGTAGCTATGCAGTCTTGGACTATTCTTGGAAAAATTGGTTTTGGACTAGATCAGTGATTTAAAAACTCTTCTGTGGATTCTGGAAAAGTATTTTGGGCCCAAAACAGCAAAGCAGGAAGTATGCCAGGCGTGCCTTCCATCCCTGTCCCCGTTTAACCGGAGAAGCATTCCTTTTTTTTTTTTTTTTTTACTTACTTTTTTTTTGAAGTTCCCATTGTTTCAAAACATTTTTTTTCCTCCCAAAGCCAGTGAACTAGATGACCTTTAAGGCTGATTTCAAGCATGAGTTCACAGGCTTCAGTTGTTTGGGGGGAAACTGTGGTATATCAGACCCAAGGGCCAAATCCCCCAGCCATTGGCTCCTGTAGAAACTCTGAGCTAAGAGTGGTTTTTAAATTGTTTAAATGGTTAGAAAAAAAAGAATACCTTGATGAAACACACCCATTTGTTTACATTTTGTCTCTATGGCTGCTTTCACTTACAACAGCAGAGTAGAATAGTTGTGATAAACATCAGAGACCTTATGCCCAGAAGGCCTAGACGTTTATTATCTGGCCCTTATAGAAAATGGTTGCCAATCTCTATGGTAGAAGTAATAGCCATTAAAACCAATAACCATTATAAATTATAAATTTTAGGACACTCAGTGATTTCTGTGCCAGATATTTAGACCAAAAAGAAAATTGTCCTTTTTTCTTTTTGAAACAGCGTCTTACTGTCTCCCAGGCTGGCGTGCAGTGGCATGATCATGGGTCACTGCAGCCTTGACCCCTAGGCTCAAGTGAGCCTGCCACCTCAGCCTCCCCAGTAGCTGGAATCACTTGCGTGTGCCATCACACTCAGTTAATTTTTGTATTTTTTGTAGAGACAGATTTTTGCCATGTTGCCCAGGCTGGTCTTGAACTCCTGGGCTTAAGGGATCCTCCCGCCTCGGCCTCCCAAAGTGCTGGAATTACAGGTGTAAGCCACTGCACTTGGCCATGATAATCCATTAATTTTAGTGAAAGAAACTTCTTCTTTCTTTATTTCCTCAATTTCAAGGCATGTCTCATTAATCCTGCTGAATCTATGTTACTGAAACAAAGGAGTATATAAGCTTACCCTGCATAGTATTGCAAATGGTGGACAGTGAATTCAAAGACCTACCATGTGGAATTCTAACATACCCAGCTTGGTGTATCAGTCTTTCAATATACAGATCTTTCTCCAAGAACTTAGGAACAGTAAGCGAAAACGCAACTTAAAACTTTCTATAGGACCCCTGGAAAATGAGAGAGGTGTGTTATGGTTGAAGTCAAGCTGTGGGCTTAGCTACAGACTATAGTGTAACGAGAAGCCTCTGAGGATGGGTGTTCACTGGTGTTAAAGGGAAAATAAAAAATAATATATATATATTATTTTCTGAGTCGGAGTTTCACTCTTGTTGCCCAGGCTGGAGTGCAATGGTGCGATCTCTGCTCACAGCAACCTCTGCCTCCTTGTTTCAAGTGATTCTCCTGCCTCAGCCTCCTGAGTAGCTGGGATTACAGGCATGCGCCACCACACCTGGCTAATTTTGTATTTTTAGTAAAGACGGGGTTTCTCCATGTTGGTCAGGCTGGTCTTGAACTCCTGACCTCAGGTGAAGAATATTCTTCTAGGGAATATATCAGTGATAGAACACTTACAAATACCAGATCTCAATAAATTCTGTTGGACAACAAACTCTTTAAGGAACACAAGGGCTGGGGCGTGGTGGCTCATGCCTGTAATCCCAACACTTTGGGAGGCTGAGGCGGGCACTGAGGCTAGGGGTTTGAGACCAGCCTGGCCAACACGGTGAAATCCCCATCTCTACTAAAAATACAAAAATTAGCCAGGCTTGGTGACATGCACCTGTAATTCCAGCTGCTCAGGAGGCTGAGGCAGGGCAGGAGAATAGTTTGAGTCTGGGAGGCGGAGGTTGCTGTAAGCCAAGATTACACCACTGCATTCCAGCCTATGCGACACAGCAAGACCCTGTCTCAAAACAAAAAACAAAAAACAAAAACAAAAAGAAACTCAAGGCATTGGAGAAGGCTTTCTATGGCTAAAATATTTGTAAATCTGAGAGTGAGTCTACTTATTTAAAAGCAATATTAATTTCATGTGCCATTTTCATAAAATTATTCCAGCAAAAACATTAGTTGCAACAGCAAGCCTTTCCCATTGTTCCCTCAGTGAACACCCAAAATTCAAAATATAATCTTCATTTTCATTTGTCTTACACTAACATGTGCCATACATCTTACAGGCAATTACTGAATATGTCTTTGATGCAGTAAGACAGGTTCTGCCTAATTCTCTGTCTCCACAGGGTTCAATGATAAACTCTGGAAATGAAAAAAACTCAAAACCTTTTCACGAAGTCTTCCCCCGATTTTTATTTAAGCAGTAACAGGTTTAGTTATTAGCTGTAGGTCTCCCCTGCTAACAACAATTCCTATGGTAGTAAGAGCTGCGTAGGAAACTATCAGTAAAGCCCATATAAGAAGCCGTGAAACCAGGCTTAGAAAAGACTGAAAAATGAGTGTTGTCAGCTTCACTCCTGCAGCAGCGTGCGAGGGCAAAGGTCTGAGAAAGAAATCCTCAGTTACCTTTTGCAGTAGCCTGATTTCCAGCCCATGCATTTGTTTATTTATGAATGCCTTTCCCTCATGCAAGAGCTCAAAGTGTACCCGATGGACTTAAACCAACAGTAAGAAGCGGCGATGACAGACGCTGAGTCCCAGCTGAGTTGAAATATTGGTACAAGAAACATAATGAGAAGGAAAGAATCTAGCATTTTCTGAACACTTAGTGATTAGGTCAGTGCCTCCCTCCGACTTTGATGTGCATGTGAATCATCCGAGGATTGTTTTAACAAGCATATTCTGATCCAGCAGGTCTGGGAAGAGACCTGAGATTCTGCATTTTTTTTTTTACGAGGTTTTAGCGACTGCTACCTGCTGTTTCCCAGACCACACTTTATCACAAATCCAGATCCTTCATATTTAATACTTAAAATAAATTTGAGAGATAGATATTATCATCTTTTAAAACAGACCTTAAAAGAGACGTTAAAAATTCATAAATGGGGAAACATGAGGGTTATCTAATAACAAAGTTCATATTCTTTCCAGTACCCTAATAACACCCCACAGGAGTAACTGATGCTTTATTGTATGTTACTGTTTTGAAATTTGAGACCGATGCCTCAAATATGCCTGATCACCAGTGACATTTGTCTAAAATTCAGATCTTCAAGCCCCTGCACAATCTATTTCACCATAATTTATTGATGAGGTGCCTAAAAGAAGGTACTTTTAATGATAACTGATTGGTGATTCTTGGGACCAGGAATGTTTGGGAAACTGATCATCTAGGTCACACTTTAGTTTTGAAAACTCCAGTAGGGAACATTGGTGTTCTGTGTTTATTAGAGAACTTTGAGGGAACATTGTCTGCTCAGGCAAAGAGGATATCAGAACCACTTTAATGCTCATCGGCTCCACTGAGAAGGGCTGCTGGGTCAGATGGAGTGAAACTTGTTGGTTTCATGATGTAAGGGATAGGTTTAAACCTGTATCTTATAACAGGGTGCTAAAGTATAGGATCTAATTATGTCACTTTTAATTGTAAGGTGAAAGCAACAATAGCCACAGAGTTTAATTGCCCTCTTTATCAGGTAAATGATCTTTGTCACTCAATCCAATTATAAAGCATACATATTAGAATAAAAGATCAACTAGAAAATATTTCCCATATCCGAAGTCCATAATTAAATATTTTATTAGAAACGCTCAATGAGATCAGAGTAAGGGTAATTATTTATTTCTGCTTTGAAAGGATACCTTTCAGCCAAGGAGATTACCCATAAATTTTTTACTACGGCTCTGTATGGTAAATATAGGGCCAAGGAAGTAGACTTTTTCTTTTCTTTTTTTTTTTTTTTGAAATGGAGCCTTGCTTTGTCACCCAGGCTGGAGTGCAGTCGTGTGATCTCAGCTCACTGCAACCTCCGCCTCCCGGGTTCAAGCAATTCTCCTGCCTCAGCCTCCCAAGTAGCTGGGACTATAGGCGCGCACCACCACACCTGTCTAATTTTTGTATTTTTAGTAGAGATGGGGTTTCACCATGTTGGTCAGGCTGGTCTCGAATTCCTGACCTTGTGATCTGCCGGCCTCAGCCTCCCAAAGTGTTGGGATTACAGGCGTGAGCCACCACCCAGGGCCAAAGTAGATTTTGAAAGTAAACATTAAGAGTTACTTCTTTCAGATCATTGATACTTTTTCTTGCTTAAACAAAATACATTTAGAGTACTATAGTTATACATTTTTAAAGGCATTCTTGATCTTGATACAATTAAGTCAATGTACTTACAAAATACATAATTTTTAGCTTAATATATTCTGTTGTTAACAGAACCTAATAATTCAATTAATTACTAGAAGACTTTGGGTTTTCTTGACTTTCTATATTTTGAAGAAAATATAATTACCTATGACTATGTTCAAATGAAATATCCTATTTTTTTCTTAAAATTAACAAAATATTTCAAGTAAGTCAAAAGACTTCTATATTGAAATCTCATTATGCCACAATTCACTAAGGGTAGAATTTCTTGCAGGGTAGGTCAACCAGTAAATAGTTAGACATTTAGAAACAGCCCAAACTGAGTTTGAAGCCTAAATTAGGCAAGTGACTTAATTTCTCTGAGCCTCCATTTCTTCATCTCTAAGGAAATGGGACATTTCATTGCTGGATTCTGTATTAGACTAGAGACAGTTTAATGGTCAAGCATGTGGTAGGTGATTAATCAATGGTCACTATTATAAAATAGCGTATAATTACTGAGCCGCCAAAAGGGCCTCCTTTTAATGATTGTAATTTACAGGGTAATCTCAAAGAACGAATCTCCCATAACCAGTTTAGCAAAATTCCTAAATATTTACTTCCCCCATTGGATCACAGTGAAGTCACATGATATCTACATTTAACATATTTAAATTCAACTATATGCATTTGATAAGAAAAAAAAAGAAGGAAAAAAATCCCTCAATTTTAATTTATCTGGGAAAATCAGCCCAATATTCCTCTCAATGAGCAAATACTCTGGCATAAATATAAGAAATGTGAACCTTTTTTTCAATGGCCTCTCAAAAGTATCAACATCTCAGTGTATAGAGCATAATTCTAGTATTTAAAAATATATACTTTTGTGCAAACTGCTACTAAAGCACAAGCCAACTGCACTTTATCTGCTGCTCAAGCGAAGAAACAACGTTCTGCCTCAAAGCTGGAAGAAAAACTCAATTAGAACATTGAGAAATACTATGCCTCTCTCTGAAGTAACAACTTCCTGAGGAATTTTCCAATGTAATTTAAAAAATATTTTTATTTTGAAATAATTTTAGACTTACAGAAGTTGCAAAATAGTTGTCCAAATAGTTCAGAAAGTTGTTATCTACTCTCTACCCAGTTTCCCCTAAGGCTAACAACTTACATAACCATAGTATAATTATCAAAACCAGGAGATAAACACTGGAACAAAACTATTAACTAAAAAACAGACCTTATTCACATTTTGCCAGTTTTTCCCCTAATGTCCTTTTTCTGTCCTGGAATCTGATCCAGGATCTCATCTTTGATTTATTTATTATATTTACTTAGTCTCCTCCAAACTGTGACAATTTCTCACTCTTTCTTTGTCTTTCATGACTTTGATCTGTGGTTGCATGAAGGTAAAGAAATGTAAATCAAGTCAACAGTTTTTTCTTCAGTGTCTTCAGTATCAATTTTTCAGGTAATTCTTTATAAATCCAAAACCAGGATATTTTCTATGGTGGATTATTAATTAATTTGTCATTACACACGTGAATGTAGCAAATGGCATTACCAACTTGAATTTAACTGCCCAAGTGACCAAAAAGAACAAACTCCTCTTATTCTTGAATAGTTGCTACCTTATAATAGGAACCATTTCAGACACTGGCAGAAGACTCTATAGCTAACGTTCCATTTATGTTATCCTCAGATGGATAGGAGATTCCTCGGCCTTCACAGAATTTGTGAATTCTTTCGTCAGGTACTCATTACCATGTCTTTCTTTCTTTTTTTTTTTGAGGCAGAGTCTCACTCTGTTACCCAGGCTGGAATGCAGTGGCGCAATTTTGACTTACTGCAACTTTGCCTCCTGGGTTCAAGCAATTGTCATGCCTCAGCCTCCTGAGTAGCTGAGATTATAAGTGCATGCTACCATGCCCGGCTAATTTTTGTATTTTTAGTGGAGATGGGGTTTCACCATGTTGGCCTGGCTAGTCTCGAATTCCTGGCCTCAAGTGATCTGCCCACCTTGGTCTCCCACAGTGCTAGGATTACAGATGTGAGCCACCGTGCCCGGCCTACCATTGATTTCTTAATAATCTTTCTGGCATTTATTCAAAAGAAAAATAAGCCAAAGCTTATAGACAAGTAAGAATCATCTTACGTACAAAGTTTTTAAAGAAGTGATTATTTCAACAGCAGTAATTGTCTGTTTGGTACCAATCTGTTCAAAAATATTCTTCAATTATAAACACTACATAGGCATTAACTCTAATGATAGCATCGTTTAAAGATTTTAAAGCATGGTGACAGAAATGAAAAAGAATAATTGAGACCTAAGAGGTTTAAAAAAGTTTTAAACAATTCAGAGGATAGTAGTTATCAAATATGTGTATGTTAGTAACATTAAAAGGTAGGGTTTATATTACACTTTTGAGTACCAGTAGCAACATATGAGTATTTCTCTAGATAACTTTTTTTTTGACAAGGTCTCACTCTGTTGCCCAGGCTGGAGTGCAATGGTGCAATCTTGGCTCACTGCAGCCTTGACCTTCCCTAGCTCAGCTGAACCTCCCATCTCAGGACACCATTGCCTCCACTGCCCATCCTGCATCTGCCTGCCTACCCCAAAAGTGTTGAGAATACAAGCATGAGCCAGAGCCACGGAACCTGGCCTCTAGAGAGACTTTCTACTTTAGTTTTTTCTTCTCTTATTTGTGAAGCCTTGAAAAAACTACTGTGGTTTATTTAGATTCTGGTTTGTGACTTTTTTAAATAAACTTTTTATTTTGGAATAAATTTATGTTTAGAGAATAGTTGCAAACATAATAAAGTGAGTTTTCATAAACGCCTTACCAGTTTCCCCTGTTGTTAACATTTTACATCACCATGCTGTTGCATTGGTCAAAACTAAGAAACTAACATGGCTGGATGCAGTGGTTCATGCCTGTAATTCCAGGACTTTGGGAGGCTGGGGTAGGAGGCTCACTTGAGGTCAGGAGTTCGAGATCATCCTGGCCAACTAACAAGGCCACATCTCTAAAACAATTATTTTAAAAAATAAAATTTAAGTAGAAACCAAAATTAATGTATTTCTATAAACATCTTGTCTTTTATGACCTTGACACTTTTGATGAATATTGGTTAATTATTGGTTTTGTAGAATGCCTCTCAATTTTGATGTTTTCTTATGATTTGATTGAGATTATGCATTTTGGGCAAGAATTCCACAGAAGTAACGCTGTGCCCTTTCGATTACCTTTAATAAGGGATACATCCATGTGGTTATTTGGTTAAGTTAGTGACTGCAGATTTCTCCACTATAAATTTACTATTCCTCTCTTTTTTTTTTTTTTTTTTTTTGAGACAGAGTCTTGCTCTGTCACCCAGGCTGGAGTACAGTGGTGCAATGTCTGCTCCCTGTAACCTCCACCTCCCGGGTTCAAGCAATTCTTCTGCCTCAGCCTCCTAAGCAGCTGGGACTACATGTGCACACCACTGTGCCTGGCTAATTTATTGTGTTTTTAGTACAGATGGGTTTTCACCATGTTGGCCAGGCTGGTCTCGAACTCCTGGCCTCAAGTGATCTACCTGCCTCAGCCTCCCAAAGTGCTGGGATCACAGGCATGAGCCACTGCGGCCGGCCCTATTTCTCTCCTTCTCCTTTTTTTTTTTTTTTTGGCAGAGTTTCGCCCTTGTTGCCCAGGCTGGAGTGCAATGGCACGATCTCAGCTCACTGCAACCTCTGCCTCCCGGGTTCAAGCGATTTTCCTGCCTCAGCCTCCCGAATAGCTGGGATTACAGGCATGCACCACCACCCCGGCTAATTTTGTATTTTTAGTAGAGACGGGGTTTCTCCATGTTGGTCAGGCTGGTCTTAAACTCCCGACCTCAGGTGATCCACCCACCTCGGCCTCCCAAAGTGTTGGGATTACAGGCGTGAGCCACTGCACCCAGCATATTCCTCTCCTTCTACACTCTATTCTTCAGCAACCAGTCACTATGTCTAGCCCACCAGCAAAAAGGGGGAGATTAGGAAAGGGGGAGATTAGCCTTCCTACAGGAGGGCTTATCTACATATAGTGTTTGGAATTTGGTAAGGAAAATTTGTTTATAACAGTCTTTTAAATCTGACATCATTCAGGTGTCAATTTTTCCACTGATGTTGAAATAATATTTGTTGGCCAGGCGGGGTGGCTCACACCTGTAATCCCAGCACTTTGGGAGGCCGAGGCAGGCGGATCACAAGGTCAGGAGTTCGAGACCTGCCTGGCCAGCATGGTGAAACCCGGTCTCTACTAAAAAAATACAAAAAACTATCCAGGCATGGTGTTATGTGCCTGTAATCCCAGCTACTGGGGAGGCTGAGGCAGGAGAATTGCTTGAACCCAGGACGTGGAGGTTGCAGTGAGCAGAGATTACACCACTGCACTCCAGCGTGGGCGACAGAATGAGACTCCATCTGAAAAAAAAAAAAAAAAGAAATAAATAATATTTATTTACCGCAAGTATATTTTTGGTGGATTCTATTAAAGTACAAGGCATACACGTTTTCCACCCTAATATGTTCTAATAGGAGAGAGAGACATTAAAAACAAGTAAGATGTAAATAAGATAATTACATATTGGGATAAGTGTTATAAACGAAACTCAGTAAGATATGAGAGAATGTGGTAACTCTGGGGGAGGCCTTCTGAGTCAGTGCAGTTTGGAAAGGTCAGTCTGAGGTGTTGACATTTGAACAGAGAACTCAAAAAAGAGAACAAACCAGTTCTGTGAAAAACGTTCCAAACTTCAGAATGATTTGGAGGCAGAAAATTGTCCTGTGATGGTTAATTCATGTATCAACTTGACTAGGTCATGGTGGACCCAGATATTTGGTTAAACATTATTCTGGGAGTATCTTTGAAGTGTTTGTAGATGAGCTTAAAATTTGAATCAGCAGATGGAGTAGAACAGTTTTCCCTCCCCACGGTGGATGGGCGTCGTCCAATCCATTGAAAACCTGAATAGAACAAAAAGGTTGAGTTAGGGAGAATTTGCACCCTCTATCTGACTGTCTTTGAGCTGGGACATCAGTCTTCACCTGATGTTTTAGGCTTGGGCTGGAACTTACATCATCAGCTTTCCTGGTTCTCAGGCCTTCTGGTTCAGACTAGAACTATACCACTGGCTCTCCTGGGCCTCTGGGTATCCAACCCACAACTAATATGTGTCGCCAGAATAGAAAAGGGGCTAGAGGCTGGGCGTGGTGGCTGACGCCTGTAATCCTAGCACTTTGGGAGGCTGAGGCAGGCAGATCACCTGATGTCAGGAGTTCGAGACCAGCCTGGCCAACATGGTGAAACACCATCTGTACTAAAAATACAAAAATTAGCCAAGCATAGTGGTGCACGCCTGTAATCCCAGCTCTTTGGGAGGCTGAGGTAGGAGAATCACATGAACCCAGGTGGCATGGGTTTCAGTGAACCAAGATCGTGCCACTGCACTCTAGCTGGGCTACAGAGCAAGACTCCATCTCAAAAAAAAAAAAAAAGAAAAAAAGGAAAAAAAAAGGGGCTAGAGTAGCCCAAGTGTAGGAAAAGATGGTCACTTGCTATGAGAAGTAGAGAAGAGATGGAGCCTGCTCCATCAGGGCCTTGAGGACCATGGCGAGTAAAGGGTTTGATTTTTACTTTAGGTATTGTAGGAAGCCTTTGAAGGATTTTTGGCAGGAAAAGGAAATTAGATATTACATTTTTAAAATATTATTCTGGCTGTCCTAAGGCTCACAGATTGTAAAAAGCAGATACTAGGAGCCCAGTACAGCAGGCCAAACCAGAGATAACTGTA
This sequence comes from Homo sapiens, assembly GCF_000001405.40. Lineage (NCBI taxonomy): Eukaryota > Metazoa > Chordata > Mammalia > Primates > Hominidae > Homo > Homo sapiens. The sequence goes on from NC_000018.10 coordinate 54,261,989, forward strand.
TGTATGTGGGCTGGGGCGCGGGGGTGGGGGTAGTGTCAGTACAGACACAGAGAAGTAGAGGGATTTGAGAGAACATTTGGAGGTAGACCCGACAGGCCTCATGTGTCATAATGTGCTTGTAAATAAAGTCTGCAAGTTTCAGTCATTGAGAGAAAGGGAACTACTTGATGTAATACAGAAAGTGCAAGCAGATTAACATAGATCAGGCACACTGTGTTAAATTTATAGACATCTAACTTTAATGTAATTTTTTAAGTACCTCATTTTTTGTTTGTTTTTGGAAAACAATGTCCCTCTGTTGCCTAGTTTGGAGTGCAGTGGCGTGATCATAGCTCACTGTAGTCTGGACCTCCTAGGCTCAAGCAATCCTCCCACCTCAGACTCCTCAGGAGCTGGGACTACAGGCACACACCATCATGCTTGGCTAATTTTTAAAGTTTTGTAGAGATGGGATTTTGTTATGTTGCCCAGGCTGGCCTTGAACTCCTGCACTCAAGCAATCCTCCTTTCTTGGCCTCCCCAAATGGTAGGATTACAGGTGTGAGCCACTGCATCCAGCCAGTACCTCATTTTTTTAATTGAAAAAGTAATCCATGATTATGATGGAGAATTTGGAAAATATAACATTATTCTAGAATTTTAGGAGATTGGATGTGTCTTAGGGAAGGGTGGGATCAAACCCATGAAGAAGGGCACAAAGGTATATGAACAAGAATGTTCACTGCAGCATTACTGGTAACAGCAAAAAATCAGAAATAAGTGTCCATGATTATGGAATTGGTGAAACAATGTAGCCATTAAAAAGAATGCAGTACATTTTTGTGCACTGAAAGGAAATGGTGTTCAAGATATACTAGGTAAAAAAGTCTAATGCAAATAGTATACATAGTGTGATCCCACTCATGTGAATTAGAATATTTTTCATTGTGTCTTCCTTATACTAAGAATATTATAAATAAAAGCCTAAATGTATCAAATTTTGTTAGCAATGGTCACCTCAAGGTGGAGTGGGGATTAGGAAGGATTTTAACTTTATGGTTTATACCTTTTTGTTTTAGTAAGATTTCTTAAACAATGGATATGAAGAAAAAAAATTTTTAAGTAGACACAGAAGCAGTAATTTTAGGATCAATAAGTACTTCAATGAAGTCTTTGAAGCAACAGTAAGAAAAAGTCCTATAAATATAAGCATTACTTTTCTTTATAGAGAGTTTATATTAATCTCAAACCAGAAAAATGGAGATTATTAAGTTGAATTTGTTAGCATTTCCAAGATGAAGTTGAGACTGTCTTTATTCATGTTCTTCGAATTAACATTAAAAACAAATACATGGATAGAACGTTTTCTGTGTCATTTATTTAGGCAATGCATCTTACAGTGGTTTTCGTGGTTTGGTAAATAAATACACAAATTTATTCATGGAAAATACAGAAAATTAGTGGGGCATGGTGGTGCACACCTGTAATCCCAGCTACTTGGGAGGCTGAGGCAGGAGAATTGCTTAAACCTGGGAGGTGGAGGTTGCAGTGAGCCAAGATCGTGCCACTGCACTCCAGCCTGCGTGACAGAGTGAGACTCTGTCTCGGGAAAAAAAAAAAAAAAAAACCGCAACTTTCTTTTTGTCATGCTTTGTGAAAAAATGATTAAAGCATGGTTTTCTGAGCATCAAGATTATGGATTATTACAGATTATTTCCATCATTTTCTTAAGTCCTATGTTTTTCAAATTCTCTATAATAATAATGTATTACTTTTGCAATCAGAAAAAGAGGTACTTTACAAAATGTTTCATTAAAGTTAAATGTCTATAAACTTAAAACAGTATACCTGATCTCTACTGATCTGCTTGTACCTTCTACGTGACACCACGTAGTTTCTTTCTGTCAATGGCTGAACCTTGCAGACTTTATTTACAAACTAGGACCAAATGACTTGTATTGTGATCATATTGGTCTGCACCTCTCTCCATCCAAAATGATGAGGCTAGGTCCATTAAGCACACACCCTGGCAAACAACATTTAAAATATCATTACTGAAATGACTATGCAGGCTTTTCATCAGACTTTTACAGCACCACAAAGAAAAGTCAGAGCAAGAAGATGACTGTTAGAAAAACTCCAGTCTCTTACACCTTCTTTTAGCCCCAATCACATGGTGTGCAGCAGATACTTTTAGGTTACACAGAGTAAACCTGAAACTGCAATCTGCAGCTATGGTGTGCAATGTGATGGTGGAAAAAAAAAAAAGGTTTCTTTGGACACTTGAAATGTTCATGCAAAAGGTTTGAGACCCATGGATGAAAGGTAAGTAAATACCGCAGGACATGTACATTGTACTACAGCCAGCATAGCATAATTATAGTTTGCTTTTAACCTTTTGAAGCCTGTGTTTTCTGGTTTTAGTCTCTTCGCTTTTCAAATTATTCCTGACTCATTAGCTTTTCACCCTAGGGGCAATTCATAAGCTCCATAAAAGTGTGGATATTTTTTCTTTTTCTTTTTCTTTTCTTTTCTTTTCTTTTTTTTTTTTTTTTGAGACCTAGTCTCTGTCGCTCAGGCTGGAGTACAGTGGCAGGATCTCTGCTCACTGCCAACTTCCACCTCCCGGGTTCAAGTGATTCTGCTGCCTCAGCCTCCTGAGTAGCTGGTATTATGGGCCATGCCCAGCTAATTTTTGGATTTATAGTAGAGATGGGGTTTCACTGTGTTGGCAAGGCTGGTCCTGAACTCCTGACCTCAAGTGATCAGCCCACCTTGGCCTCCCAAAGTGCTGGGATTGTAGGTGTGAGCCACCACGCCAAGCCGTGGATATTTTTCTTAAATTTCTTTTCCAGCAAATGCATACCATTTGTTTTTTAGTATCAGAATGTAAATTCCCACAGTGAGAAGCAACTAAATAATACTTATTTTCATCTTTTATACCCTTTTTTCTTTTCTTTTCTTTTCTTTTGTGTGTGTGTGTGTTTCTTTTTTTTTTTGAGACAGAGTCTCACTCTGTTGCCCAGGCTGGAGTGCAGTGGTACAATCACAGCTCACTGCAGCCTCAACCTCCCAGGCTCAAGCATTCCTCCCACCTCAGCCTCCCTAGTAGTTGGGATTACAGCCATGTCCCACCAGGCCTGGTTAATTTTTTTTTTTATTACTTTTTTTTAGAGACGAAGTCTCACTATGCTGGTCTGAAACTCCTGGGCTCAAGCCATTCTCCTGCCTTGGCCTCACAAAGTGTTGGGATTACAGGCATGAGCCACCAAACCTGGTCCTATCTATAATTAAAAGCACGTAACTGAAGACCAATTCTTCATTACAACTGGAGACCCTAATCTGAAGAGGCTAGTTGGGAGCAAGGTGGTGTAGACACTACTGGTATCCCAACCACGGACCAATTGACACTTTGGGATGAATAATTCTTTGTCATAAAGGTTTGTCTTTGCACTGCAGGATGTTCAGCAATATCCCTGGCCCCTACCCATTAGATGCCAGTAGCACAGAGCTCCAACACAGAGATGTGACCACCTAAAATATCTCCAGACACTGCCAAATATTCACTAGGGAACAAAATCAGCTTGCTTGAGAACGATTGCGTTAGGCCAAAGACCTCACAAAATCAAATCCTCTGTGCCTTTGCCAATTCAAATTGCTCCTTTAACTCCATGGTCAACTCTACCCACTTAGCCACCCACCAACATAAAATACAGACACAAACACCCTCACATTCTTCATATGAAATACCTTGAACATTGTCTAGTGTTCTTCCTCTGAGCCATATGTGGCCAATTTGGCTAAGAGGAGAGAAGTAACCACTGATGCCTATTTCCTACCCTCCACTGACATGGGAGTTCATGCTTATCCTTTTAAATGTATTTAAGTTCATAATGTGCTGACTTTCTTTCTTTGTTTCTTTTTGGAGATGGAGTCTCGCTCTGTTGCCCAGGCTGGAGTGCAGTGGCATAATCATACATGACTGAAGCTTCAAACTCCTGGCTTCAAGCAATCCTCCTGCCTCAGCCTCCTGAGTAGCTGGGATTACAGATGTGAGCCACCGTGTTGGCATGTCTTGACTTCTGAAGCTCTAAAATGCCTCCAGCTTCTTTATCCACTAGCCACGCTCTGTAAATCCATGCTCCTCCATAAATTTTGTTTGACCATAATATTATTTAATTAACTATGTCTATTCTGCCTTGAAATTGTTTTCTTCATTTGGCACTTAAATATACAGTTATGACCCAAGCTCAAGACAGCTATTTCCTGAAGTTATTCTAGATTAGATCCTATTAATTAAAACTGGGAGTAGGGATTTTTAGAATCAAACCCCAAAATCCTTTTTTCCTAAAACATTCCAAAACAATGAGACACGTTAGCTTATATAAATTTTATTTTCGTGCCTCTTAATACCTTTGAGGGATGTTTATTCTCCCCACTACCAGCCGTCTGGTGTTTGAAGCAGTGAGGAAAATGGTCAGAGCTAATTGATTTCCTATATGGAGAAAACATTATTAATGAATTCTTCACTGTGGAAAATTCTGAAAAGTGGATCTGCCATTACTAGATTCATAGCCTTGAGCAAGCATGTTAATCTCTCCTAGGCTATTTCATCTTTGGTAAAATGAGGATGCTGACATCTACCCTCTAGGGCTATTATATTGAATGAAATGACCTGTTTCAAGCTTTTAGCCCTGTGCTTGATATACAGGTGTTTTATGAGTGTCCTTTTTAGTGCTGCTTCTCTTCTTTATTTCCAGCACTTGCTAAATACTTTCTGGGGTCCAGGGCAAAATGAAAATATGGGGCTTCCTTGTTAAAAAATTAAGAATTTCAAGACAAGAGCAGAATATGAAATCAAGTGTTGAGCCCTATGTGACTGCCTACGTCACATACTCATCAAGCCAGCCCTGCTTGCTCCCCTAGGATTTCCAAGGGTCTACTTTTCTATCCTTTCACGAAATTAAAAGCCACTCTTCAAATTAAACAACGGATGGGGAAATAAATGCAACTAACTAAAGAGGGCTTGATTACGTGCATTGTTTTTTAACACTGTCTCACTTAAGCAACATGTTGAATGTTAGTGAGCCTAGGGCTCTTCTAGAGAGACCGTTTTCATCTGCCATAGTATTTTAGTGTTTATATCATTTTCTATCTGGAAGAATGAAAAGAAAAACAAACTTTGGTTGTCTATTAGTAATCAGACCACTGAATGTTGTCCAAGAAGCACTTAGTGGACAAAGAGACACTCAATTCAAAAGCTCTCTATGTAGGCTGGGTCGCGGTGGCTCATGCCTGTAGTCCTAACACTTTGGGAGGCCAAGGCGGGCGGATCACTTGAGGTCAGGAGTTGGAAACCAGCCTGGCCAACATGGTGAAACCCTGTCTCTACTGAAAATACAAAAATTAGCTGGGTATGGTGGCACACGCCTGTAATCACAGCTACTCAGGTGGCTGAGGCAGGAGAATTGTTTGAACCCAGGAGGCAGAGGTTGCAGTGAGCCCAGATCGCACCACTGCACTCCAACCTGGGAGACAGACTGAGACTCTGTCTCAAAATAAATAAATAAATAACTAAATAAAATGAAAAACCACCAAACAACTATCTAGACTTATCAAACAGCTTTCACAAAGATAGCAGCCTAGCTCTCTGAACAGGTAATTTATAACCTAGATAGCAGACTTTGAAAGAACTGGTCCAGACATCTAAGAATTAAATATGCAAAGAGGAAGATTTTGTTTCCAAACCACTGAGACCCAGCTCTGCTTGTTATTCCCTTTTCTTCATGGATGCATCAACATATCCTTTAAAGCAGGGGTCCCCAGTCCCCAGGCCATGGACCAGAACCAGTCCCTGGCCTGTTAAGAACCATGCCGCATAGCAGGAGGTGAGTAGCGGGCCCGGGAGTGCAGCTTCATCTGTATTCACAGCCACTCTCCACTACTGGCATGACTGCCTGAGCACTGCTTCTTGTCAGATCAGCAGCGGCATTAGATTCTCACAGGAGCCTGAACGCTACTGTGAACTCGCATGCGAGGGATCTAGGTTGCATGCTTCTTATGAGAATCTAATGCCTGATGATCTATCACTATCTCCCATCACCCCAGATGGGACAGTCTAGTTGCAGGAAAACACGCTCAGGGCTCCCACTGATTCTACCTCATTATCTATTAAAATGTAATAATAATAGAAATAAAGTGCACAACAAATGTAACGCACTTGGATCATCCCAAAACCATCCCCCTCCCTTCTGTCTGTGGAAAAATTGTCTTCCATGAAACCAGCCCCTGGTGCCAAAAAGGTTGGGAATGGCTGCTTTAAAGGGTTTCTCAAGGTTCTAATATTTTATTTGATAAGAAGTAGAATCATATAAAAAACCAAACATATGTGTTAATTTGGGTATTTATACAGATATAGTGTATATACATACATACAGGCATGGAGGAATTTCCAAATTTCCTCTATTGTAAAACATACACATACACACACCAACACACACATGCACACATGGTATCCTAATAGAAGGCAAGGAGAATAGACATTTACTGAGCACTTCCTATGTGCCACATGTTTTATATACATTAGGATATTACAGTATATGGTAGCTTTTATCCATTCATTCAATCTCAATACTTTTTTTTTTTTTTAAGAGTAGAGCAACTGAGGCTCACAGCAGTTATGTAACCTGCCCAAAGTCACACAGCATGATGGAGGGTCTGGATTGGAGATTTTGTCTGACTACAACACTCATGTATCAAATCCTATTCAGTTTTGATGTTAAAAATTCTGTGGTTGAATTCGTCACAGTGTCTTTAAATAAAACAACAACAAACAAAACACAGCAAACCTTAACATAGTTGCTAATCATATGAGTTTACAAGGCCACCTGTGTCTTTACTATCAGTTACACTCCTTCCCACCCCATCACATTAATCACTCAGGTCTAGGGATTTGCAAGTTTGCTAACAGCCGAATGGAACAAAGACAAAACGCTAAAATTTGTGATGTGGGCCTAACTCCAAAGCCTTCAAGAAAAAAAAAAAAAGGCCAGGCGCAGTGGCTCATGCCTGTGATCTCAACACTTTGGGAGGCCTAGGAGGGTGGATCACCTGAGGACAGGAGTTCGAAACCAGCCTGACCAACATGGTGAAACCTCGTCTCTACTAAATACAAAAAAATTAGCTGGGCGTGATGGCGCATGCCTGTTAATCCCAGCTACTTGGGAGGCTGAGGCAGGAGAATCGCTTGAATCCGGGAGGCAGAGGTTGCAGTGAGCCGGTATTGCGTCACTGTTGCCCACTCCAGCCTGAGCAACAAGAACGAAACTCCGTCTCAAAAAAAAAAAAAATAGCCATTTGTGCTTTCAATCTCTCCGCTTCCGGCCTCCACCCGGCGGGAAAAAACTCCCGCACGTGGGCCTCCACGATTCCTTGGCATGCGTGTCACTCTGGGCAACAGGCTGGTCGGCCACGACTGCGCAGGCGAGAGGCACAGAGCGACTGGAGACTGTAGTCCCCCGGTTTCCCTGGAGACCAGGCGGAAGCGGCCGGAAGTAGCGCTGCGGTTGGCAGCGGCGGGATGGAGAAGCTGGGGGTGGAGCCGGAGGAGGAAGGCGGCGGCGACGACGACGAGGAAGACGCCGAGGCCTGGGCCATGGAACTGGCGGACGTGGGGGCGGCAGCCAGCTCGCAGGGTGCGCCGCAGCCAGAGGAGCCAGCGGCCTCCTTGGGTGTAAATGAGAAGGGTGGGGCAGGCGGACGCTCGGGGCGGCGGCCACTGGGGCGCGACCGTCCCCGCCCCACTCGGCTCCTCTAAGAGAGGGCTGCCTCCCTCTGCCTTGTGTTACGCGGCGGGTACCTCTAGAGGAATGGCTTCACCCAGCAGGAGTAGGGTGGGGCGCGTCCACACTACAAATACGTGTCGAGGGTTTATCTGCGCCGTCCTTTCCTCTGTGAGGGGCGAGGTGGGGCGGGAATCCCTCAGCCAGCCCGACGAAAACTGCAGAGGCTTCTGGGCCTTTTAACTTTGGAGAAGTTGAGGACCTTGTCGCTCATTTGGCAGAAGGTGGGACCCGGATCTCAGTCCTGGCAGGAAGGGATGGCTCAGAACCTAGGCGGAGTCAGGTCCGCTGTGGTCACGTCTCCGGTGACCCACTTCCAGCTCTGGTCTTTACCTTGTACCGCCCACCTCAGGGCCTGGATGTAAAGGCACCGGTTCTCATTTCCTGCTGGTTTTGTTTCATTCATTAATTTAGAGACAAGGTCTCCCTGCAGCCTCGAACCCCTGGGCTCAAGTGATCCTCCGCCCCAGCCTCTCCGTCCCGAGTAGCTGGGACAGCAGGCACGTGCCACCACACCTGGCTGATTTTCAGATTTTTTTAGATCAGGTGTAGCTGTGTTGTCCAGGCTGGTCTCAAACTCCAGCCACAAGCGATCCTTCCACCTCAGCTTCGAAAAGTATTGGGATTACAGTAGTTAGCCATCGTGCCTGGCCTTTTAAATTTTGGAACTTTAGGTTTACCTGAAAGTTGCAGAGCTAGATCCCCCTAGTGTTAACATAAACTCAGTACATTTGTCAAAACTAGGAAATTAACATTGGTATAATACTATTAATTGAACTACACGCTTTATTAATATTCTACCAGTTTTTCTGCTAACGTTCATTTTCTGTTCCAGGATCCCAACCAGAATATTGTATTGTATTTTGCCTGTCTTGTTTTTAGCCAGTGTTGAGAGAAGGAGTCGCCTCTGTCATTCCCTCCCCGACAAATAATGACCTAACAACTTTTTAAAATCAAAGAACTATTCAGTCTTTCAATTTAGTGAATATTTATTGGTGGTCTGTTATGTCCTAGACACTGTTTTAGGCACTGGCGATTTAGCATTAAACCAGATAATCCTGCTGCCATGGGAGCTAAAAATAGCCCACACTTGTACCCACTGGTTGTCTTTTGCCATTTTGTATTTCAGTTTTTGTTGGTTTGTTTGTTTTAAATGTAAGGGCATGCTGCTTAGAATAATTTTCAAGCTGTGTGAAAATCAACGTCATTTCAACTTTTCTGCCCCTTCTGGTTTACACTAAGAGCTACTATAAACTTCCAGGTGATAGTATTAGCTCTTTCATCATCCATTATTTATCACATTTTTTCCCTTCAAACTTATTACTATCCTGAGAAAAACGCAGTGCACAAACAGTAATTAAGAGGACTGAAGACCCTACCCTAAGTGGAGTTTCATGTCTTTGTAATTTTTCGATGCTTTCACACATAATCCAGGAGAAAACACGTCACTCTGCATTCTTCCTTCACAGGTACCATGTTTTAAGGAACTGTCAGTTGCTCAGAGATAATAAGCAGCCTGAATTTCTTTTTATTTCTTTGCATATTGTGCAGGAGTTCATGATCAAGTGTTGCCCACACCAAATGCTTCATCCAGAGTCATAGTACATGTGGATCTGGATTGCTTTTATGCACAAGTAGAAATGATCTCAAATCCAGAGCTAAAAGACAAACCTTTAGGTAACTGTAGATTTATAATATTTTTAATTGCATAATGATTAGATTAGCAACTCATCATGCTCATTATATACTGATTTATTAACCTTATTAAGAAAGATTTTGGAAGCAGTTCTTACAGTGCTTTATAGCTGGTCATTTTTGCTTCACTACCAAGTGTAAATTTTACAAGCCTCATTTAATAAGTGGTGAATCTGAGAATAGTGTAGTCGGCAGAACAAATGAAGAGAAAGCAGAATAAATGTTACTTTTCTGTGCTGGTTAGTAGCTTAGTTTGCTGGTCAGATTTCTTTTTCTCACTATTTGAAATTTTACAGGCTTTGTTCTCAAAAACAGCCTCTTATTACATTTTAGTGGAAGTGTTCGTCTGTCCTCCCCTTTCTGAAATTATCTCTTAAATTGTGTAACATCTAACTAACTAGTTGGATTTTGAACATAAACCTAAGTATTATTAAGACAGCAAACTTGCCGTAAAAACATAAGCATCTTTTTAAATAAAAGCCAAAATAAATTTTATATTGGATATTTGTTGATATGCTAGCTTGTTTTATCATTTTTATTATTCATATTTTAAATTGAGAAAGATAAAGAGATTTTCTTTCATGCATGCAGGAAAGATTCCTCTTTTAGTGTAAGCATAAAGAACATTTTTGGTTCACTTGCTGCTACCCTCTTGTGCCCACTTTGGCTTAATAAATCCCAATCCAGCCTAGCTGATTTACTGAAGAACAAAGGGATGACTAGTTTTTGCTACGCCAAGGTGAGTCTAGGATCTTAAAACTTTTCTAAGGGTGCCAAGGAGTTAGAATCAGGGGACCTAAGTTTTTTCTCCTGAAGGCATTTCTGAGTAGTAGCACTGTGTTATAAGATGTTCTGTAGATAATGCTTAATAAAAAAACTGTAATTAAGTACGAATGAATGATTATTGGGAAGTGAGGGATATGAATGCTCCATGTTTTTGGGGGAAAACGAAAGTAGTCTTTCATTTTGTTTTTGTTGTTGTTGTTGAGAAGGGGTCTCACTCTGTAGCCCAAGCTGCAGTGCAGTGGTGCGATCTTGGCTTACTGCAAGCTTTGCCTCTGGGGCTCAGGTGATTCTCCTGCCTCAGCCTTCCAAGTAGCTGGGACTAGAGGTGTGCGCCACCATACTCGGTTAATTTTTTTGTATTTTTAGTAGAGACGGTTTCACCATGTTGCCCTGGGTGGTCTCGTATGCTTGAATTCAGGCGATCCACCTGCCTTGGCCTCCCAAAGTGCGGGGACTACAGACGTGAGCCACCGTGCCCGACCAGTAGTGACATGCAGTGATGAGGCCATATAATGTAATGCTCTATTAAAGGACTCCTTTTTTTAGTTAAGAAATCTAGCAATCTGATTTTTTATGTAGTTCACTGAGGAATCTCAAATTATTATTACCTTTGGTTCCATGATTATATTTTTGGGCATTACCTGATATATGAAAAAACTTTATATAAAAATAATGTTGTTTATGATATCAAAATTTTAGAAACAATGTCTAATAGAGAAGTGGACATAACCTTTTTTTTCTACATGTTTGTATTTTACATATTTTAGGTGAACATTACTCTTACAGTGGTAAGCAAGTAGTCAACTTGTATAAAAAAAGAGCAAATAATTTTTAGCAATCTTGAGTCACCAATAAACTAGAATTTTTTATGCAGTCTGTAAATAAATGATCATAATTTAATCATTTTTGATAGAACAGTTCAATAAGTAGTACATAACTGTTAGATCCCTAAAAATTGCTGTAGCCCAGCACTTGTTTTATATATTTTATATACATATTATATTTTATATTGCTTTATATTAGCAAGTTACGGAGAAGAGAAGTTGAGTTTTTCTAGCAGCAACCAGTATTTAGTTGTACTCAATTATTTTCATCCGTTTTTTTTTTTTTTGGTAGAACATGCCCTATTATATGGCAGTATAAATTAATCTGCTTTTATATTGTCTGGAAAAAAATCCTAGAGAGATTTGATTTGTATCTTATCACTGAAGATTCCATAGAATATATTGATTTAGGTTCATTTTTAAATTTTAGAAATGTAATACATAGATTGCCTTTTGTATATGAATAATTGATCTATCGTCTAACTTTTAATTCTGTGTTATTCAGTGTTTTGTTATTTAATAATAACTTTCCTTCTTCAAGGAGACAAAACAACTAGAGATTAAAAGTGGGGTATGGAAAAATAATACATTGGTATATTATAATTCATAATTAGGAGATAGCTTGAAAACCTAATGTTTCTGCATTATAGAGATTTGATATATGGAGGCTATGTTTTTTAATTGAGACAGGGCTTTTGATTCTTATCAAAACTGATTGTCTTACAATTTAGACAAATGTAATACGGAATTAATAATATCTTTAAATGTTTTCTTCAATTGTGCTTGGGTTTCTCATAAAATATTTTTTACAGGGGTTCAACAGAAATATTTGGTGGTTACCTGCAACTATGAAGCTAGGAAACTTGGAGTTAAGAAACTTATGAATGTCAGAGATGCAAAAGAAAAGTGTCCACAGTTGGTATTAGTTAATGGAGAAGACCTGACCCGCTACAGAGAAATGTCTTATAAGGTTACAGGTACAAATGATAAGCAATGTACTTTTAGCATTAATTTTTATGTAGGATGCCTGTTCATTACATGAATTTTTTAATAAATGTAAAATAACATAAGTCAAGATGCTTTTTCCTAATAACTTCTTATTTTGGGTCTTGTCAACTTTAAAAATTATGTGAAAGGATAACTGTATGCTATGAATAGTATTTTTAAGAAGATGTATAGTTGGAAGTAATTTTAACTCTTATTATTGATGTTTATATAACAGGGAAAAGTGGAAAACAAAGTTTAAAAGTGAGAAAATGGGAAACTGTACTGTAAAAGATGCCAGGTCTTTAAAATTTTAAGTTTAAATGAATTACGAAGAAATATGTTGTTTTCTAATGCACTAATGATAATTGAAAGAGGCTTCTGTAACATTTGATCAACATAATTAAAAACTGATTTCTTATGAAATATTAATAAAAATATTGGATATATTAATATTTTCTTAGGTTTTATATATATACTAAATATTACAATGTAGCTAAACTTTCCTATGCTAAGGTTTGGGTTTAAATCTTAGTGTTATAGTAAATTACAGGAAAAATGAAAATGAGTGTGCACTGGCACATTGCAAATATAGTAGGTTGATGCAAAAGTAATTGTGGCTTTCACAATTACTTTTAATTGCGAAAACCGCAATTACTTAATATATAGTGTAAAAATGTATAATGATCAGCTTTGCAATTATTTGTCTTTTTTACTTTTTTTGTTTTTCTTTTATGATAGCAATTTTCAGATGACTGGATTAAATGTCTATAATATACAAAGACCTCTTAGAAATTAACAGGAAAAATAAACCTAATAACAAAGGACAAAGGATATGAATAGGCAGTTGACAAGAAGAGCCTAACCCAGTGTCTAACAATTATAGGGAAAAAATGCTCAAATTCATTAGTGGCCAAGGAAATTTGAATTAGTAAGATATTTTATATCTGTCATACTTGCCCAAAATTAAAAGCAATGTGAGAAAAAAGTATCAAGAACACTTACTGAGTTTAAAGATGAATGTTCTTCAATCCAGTGATATCATTGCTGGGAGTTTATCAAATAGAAATAAAATCATAAGGCTGGGTATTGTGGCTCATACCTGTAATCCCAGCACTTTTGGAGCTGAGGTAGGAGGATTGCTTGAGCCTAGAAGCTCGAGGCTGTGAGCCGTGATTGTGTCATTGCATTGCAGCCTGAGTGCGCATGACAGAGTGAGACTCTTGTCTCTAAAAAAGAAAGAGAACCACAAGTACATAAAGACATATGTACAACAATGTTTATCATAGCATGGTTTATGATTGTCAAAAGTATGGAAGGAAAAATGCCCATCAAGAGAAATAGCCAAATAAACTAAAACATCTGTATAATGGATATTATATAGCCATTAAAAAGAATTCATTGGTGCAATACTATTTGACTGATGGAGATAGGGCTTGTTGAGTGAATAAAAGGCAAGGTACAAAGTCATGTATCATGTTTTTCCAAATGTGTAAAATTATGGCCTAAATGCCTCCTCTCATATTCATCATATAGATGAAGAAGAGTAAATCATTGTTTTGATTTGCAGTTTTCCATGAGTAAGGTTGAGTATTTTTTCATATATTTTTGGTCATTTATGTATTTTTTTCTGTTAACGTATTCACTTGCACCTGTTTTTAATTTGGGTTGTTCATCTTTTTCTAAGTACTAAGTACCTAGTACTTTTTGTGTTAGGTATTTTTTGAAAAAAGTTACTTTATCAATTTTTCTCACAGTATTTTTCTGAGTTGAAGTAGGCGCGTAGCCAGTTAGTCCTTTACTGTATTTATCTCTGATCTGTTTATAACCTTATTATTTATTTCATATTTTGATGCTACTGCATATATACCTTTCTTCAAGGTATTTTTTTTTTCTGTAATTACAGACTCCTCTTTTGGGCCCTATATAATTATATGTTTAATAAATGTATCTTGCTTATGAAGTTGATACCAAGAAAGAGGTTAACTTCAGGAATGGAGGCTGGGCATGGTGGCTTATGCCTGTAATCCCAACACTTTGGGAGGCTGTGGTGGGGTATCATTTGAGGTCAGTCTGGGCAATATAACATAGCAAGACCCTGTCTCTACAAAAGTTAAAAAAAAAAAAAGTTAGCTGGTAGCATGTGCCTGCAGTCCCAGAGGCCGAGGTAGGAGGATTGCTTGGGCCCAGGAGGTCAAGGCTGTACTGAGCTGTGGTGTGCTACTCCACTCCAGCCTGGGCAACAGTGAGACCCTGTCTCATTAAAACTACAGCAACAACAAAAACCTTCAGGGACGGGATAATTAGGGATTTGTCCTGTGACCTAAAATCAGTCAATATTTAGTGATCCACCAGCTTCGTGCATGATTCTGTATTTAACTTGCTTTTCTATTTAGTGCTTAAAGCCTTATCCTTTATTTTTCTTATGTAGTATTCTTTTGATAAACTCTTGTTTTCTACATGTTACTTTGCATATCAGGTATATACTTTTGAAAATAAATTGCCGAAATTGATGAAGGAAATGCAAAACAATCATTTTCTTTGATTAGACATATTGTCAGTCTGTCCTGAAAGGAGGTAATAGTTTTCTCTAGGTAATAGTTTTCTCAGGAGTGATTTTTGGTGTTTGCCATGTCACATTGTTACCTTTATTGGTTTCCCCTCACATTGTCAATGTTGACATCAACAAAACAAAAAAGCACCTTTGGTGTTTGTGAAAAAACATGATCTATGTGGAATGAGATAGTCCTTTTATTTCTGAGCTTCAGATTATATGACCTTAAGAATCTATGCATTTTTGTATACTAAGAGACTTGCATTTGTTTTCTCTTATCCAGCTGGTGTCAGTAGAAAGTGATTCAGAGGGAAGTGAAAAACTTTCTCAATGATTTTAAAGTTATTAGTCTCAATGTTAATATATGAAAATTGATAGTTTTTTTGAATTTATTTTGAATTTTGGTTCAGCTTAATCTAGTAAACATTTGACTTGAGGACTAGATATTGTGCTAGACGCTGGGCATTTGAATACCTGTAAGTTGTGGTTCATCTCTGCCTCTCTGTCCTAAGGAATATTCTTGGGAATGGCTAATAAAAATACCACGTTATAGTATATTTTGAAAGTTGACTGACTTTCTGTTTTATTCAGTAATAATTGGACATTTTAAATATTATTTTGTTTTGCCTCTTTTAAACTCTTGGAGAAAATATAGCTAAAATATACTATTACTTGTTTTTAACTTTCCTGAGCAGCCTATAGTTTATTCTTTGACACATTTCTTCAAGGTCACCAATTTACTATAAGCATTGATATTTAATGTACTACAGATATAAAAATTATAGGTGTAGAAGATTGAGCTAGATATATTGCCATGAATAACTGCCCTAGGAATGTCATTTTTAGACTTTTTTGAAAATATTGCCTTTATACAAGATGTGGTACAGAAAAAACGTCAATTAACTGAGGGCTTTATTAAAGATATTATGGAACTATGAATGTATATAAAACCTTTAACAATAAATTTGATAAATTTTTAAGCACTAGATAGTTAAATTTATCCTAGTTATAACTTCATTTACATTTGTGCTCCAATATTATTTCAATTTAGAATTACTGGAAGAATTTAGTCCAGTTGTTGAGAGACTTGGATTTGATGAAAATTTTGTGGATCTAACAGAAATGGTTGAGAAGAGACTACAGCAGCTGCAAAGTGATGAACTTTCTGCGGTGACTGTGTCGGGTCATGTATACAATAATCAGTGTGAGTGGGTTCTTATTCATTCTACCTACTAACCAAAAGTACATACATTTCTTAATGTTCAGTGAGTTCGCTGTGTGATTCTGAAAGATTCATGACTTTTGTTGGAGGTATAGTTATATTTAGTCAGTAATCTGTCTAGGACAGCTAAAATTAGGTGCTGCTATTCCATAATAAGTGTTAAGATTTTGATGACATGTAGCTCAATGCTCTGTGCACTTTTCATTTGCACAGAGCATTGTTCCTGTTCATCTGCACAGAGCATTCATCTGTGCAGAGTTTTCGTCTGACACAGTGCATTGGTTCCCATTTTAGAAAGCCATACCCAGCTGGGCACAGTGGAGCGCCCCTGTAGTCCCAGCTGTTTGGGAGACTGAGCTGAGAAGATTGCTTGAACCCAGGAGTTTGAGTCCAGCCTAGGCAACAGAGCAAGATCCCATCTCTTAAGGAAACAAAAAGCCATACCTCTGTAGGTCATTCTTAAGTTGTAAGAGTTGGCTTCTTAATATGCTTTTTGGAATAATTTTTTATTATTCTAAAACAATCTCTAAGCAGAGTTTTCAGGTAGGCTAGATTTGCCTTTGATGTGTCTTTTACATGTTCCCTTCGATTCCCCTTTGATGTGTGTTTTACATGTTCACTTCGATTCCCCTGAGACCCTCATGTTGCTCTCTGAATTCCCAAGTTAGCACTTTTGGAATGTTGTCCAGGGCTATCTGCCATGTGCTAGAATCTTCTCCAAGCTCCTATTTAATCTGTTCAAATAATCTTTGTCAAAGTTAGCAAGAAAGCAGAATGGTTTGTCTCCTTCATATATTGAGATATGAATGACTGATGGTGTTTCCAGTGATATTTACATTTGAAAATAAGCTGCAGTAAGCACCAGTGAATATCTGATTAGGCTTTCAGACATCTTATGACTCTGCTGGTGACTCCCCTATCATACCACATACAAGACAAGGTACTCTGCTGTTGTGTAAGACTTGTCTGACCCTTTTGCTCTTAAGCCTCCCCATGCATTTCCTCTTATCCTCTTTTTTGAGAACTAGACATCGGTCTACAGAATAGTTCTCCACAGAAGAAAAGCAGTAGAACCACAGTTTCTAGAATACATGGAGCTTTTCCTGTATCTTTTGTACTTGTGCTCATTTGTAACTTAAAAGGGCTAACTAGCAAGAATATTTCAAATATATTTCTGTATAATTTTTAAGGCAAACTTGGATTTTATTGGTTAGAGTACATTATAGAGAGCTAGGTTTTATATCCCAAAAAGGGAAATGTGGAATTATTGATTAATTCTTCCTCTTTCATACAGATTTTATTAAAATTTTTTGTAAACCTACAGAAAAGTTGACAGAATAGTACAAAAAATACCCATTATGTCTTTTCTTTTTTTTTTTTTTTTTTTGAGACAGAGTCTCACTCTGTCGCCCAGGCCGGAGTGCAGTGATGTGATCTCGGCTCACTGCAACCTCCACCTCCTGGGTTCAAGCAATTCTCCTGCTTCAGCCTCCCGACTAGCTGGGACTACAGGCATGTGCCACTACACCCGGCTAATTTTTTTATTTTTAGTAGAGACGGGGTTTCACCATGTTGGCCAGGCTGGTCTTGAACTCCTAATCTCAGATGATCCGCTTGCCTTGGCCTCCCAAAGTGCTGGGATTATAGGCATGAGCCACTACTCCTGGCCCATTATGTCCTTTCTTGTAGATAAACCAGTTGTTATCGTTTTGCCACATTTGCTTTCTCTTGTTCTCTCTATGGATTGCTTGGTTGGTTGATGAGCTATTTGGAAGTAAATTGCAGACATCCTGACATTTCATCTCTAAATACTTTTAGCGTTAGTCTCTTTGAGGTTAGGATGGTTTCATGTCATTCCAACACTGTTTTACACCTAAAGCAAATTTATTTTTATATAATTTTCTTACACTTTTCATAAAAGAGCTCTAAAACTGTGTACAGGTCAGAGATTGTTTCTAGCAGCATATACTGCTAGTGCGTGGTTAAGATTTAGATCTTTAAAGTATAATGTTAGCTTTCTTGTTATATAATAATACTTCTATGCCTACTTACGGGTAAATATGAGTAAAAGTTTTGCCAATGTCAGTAGGAATTTTTTTATGAGATCAGTTTTCACAATGTGTTAATTATTAAGCACTCCCACTACACAGTCACTATCACAGGCCCTTGGAATTTGCTTATTGAATTTGTTTACAGTATTCCTATGAAGCATGAAAGAGATTAGTCAAGTGGATAACAGGGTGGCAGTGATCTCTTAGTCCATTTAGTGTTGCTTTAACAGAATACCTGAGACTGGGTAATTTATAAAGAAAAAAAGGTTTATTTGGTTCATGATTCTTGTGGCTGGAAAAGTCAAGGTTAGGCCTCTGGTGAGGGCCTCAGGCTGTTTCCACTCATGGTGGAAGGCAAAAGGGAGCCAGTGTGTGCAGAGATCACATGGTGAGAGAGGAAGCAAGGGCTGGGGGAGGTGCCAGGCTCTTTTAACAACCAGCTGTCTTTGGAACTAATACAGTCAGAAACTTACCCCTGAGGGAGGGCTTTAATCTATTCATGAGGGATCCACCCCTGTGATCCCAACACCTCCCATTTGACCCCACCTCCAACACTGGGGATCAAATTACAACATGAGGTTTGGAGGGGACAAATATCACAACCATACCAGGTGATGATGGTGGTGGTTGTGGTGGTGGTGGTTGTTGGATATAGACTAAGCCCTCTACCTTTTAAAAATTATTTTGTGAAAAAGAAAAAGGTTTTTCTTGTGACTTTGAATGACATTTGTTGTTTTTAAAGCTATAAACCTGCTTGACGTCTTGCACATCAGACTACTTGTTGGATCTCAGATTGCAGCAGAGATGCGGGAAGCCATGTATAATCAGTTGGGGCTCACTGGCTGTGCTGGAGTGGCTTCTAATAAACTGTTGGCAAAATTAGTTTCTGGTGTCTTTAAACCAAATCAACAAACAGTCTTATTACCTGAAAGTTGTCAACATCTTATTCATAGTTTGAATCACATAAAGGAAATACCTGGTAAGACAAATATATTTGAAAAGTACATATACGTCTTATTTTATTTCTTTTAATTTAAAAAATTATAGATACAATGTAATTAATTCTTAGGTAGAGTTGTCTGTGAGTTTGTGTGCATGTGTGTGTGTGTGTATACTTGGTTCCTGGAAAAAACTAAGAAAAACTGTAATGTTTTCTCAAGCAAATTTGGATTAAGAAATATGTGAAGGTACTTTTCTTATTTTATCTACTTTTGTATGGTTAGAATATGGTCATGAAAGTTATAGCCTAGAAACATATGGTCCTTTATTTCCAGTCCCTGGGTCATACTCTTATACTGTACATTGCCTCTAGAGAGGGGAGTTCGTCTTTTACTAACTCTTTTGGGATTACATATAAAATATTAAGGCTACAATGGACTTTCCAAAACATCTAGGCCAAGGTCCTCATTTTAAAGATTAGGAAACTGATTTCCATGAGGAGTTCGGTGACCTATTTAGGTCATGGGGCAAGTTTGTATCTTTGAAGATTAAATACCCAAGTTTTTATAGGCCATCAATATGTTGAACTACATTTCTGTGGTATTGCTAGGGAATAAGATGTTATAAAAGAGTTCTGTGGAAGTGAATTTCTAATACCACTGAAACTTAGATGTCATACTTCACATTTTTAACTGATACTTGCGTGATTCCAAAATGTATTATACACTGCCTTGCCTTCCTTAGTATAGTATAACTATAATTTGAAGTTTTTTGGATGACTTTGGTAGTGCATTCTGAAGAACAATGTCAGGTTGTAATAAACTGAGGACTATATACTGGTGCAAAACATTCTTACTTGGCTTTACTTTCGAGTTCTTGTATCTTTTTTTTTTTTTTTTAACAGGCTTTCTCCTTTCTCACTTATTGCCAAATTGCCAACCTTCTTTTTTTTCTGCTGTGAAAAATCTGTCACTCTACTTTAATAGTTCCCCCTACATAGCCATCTCCTCCAACTTACTGCTTTTACTGTGCAAGAAAACCAGATAACTGTGGAATTACTGTTTTTGAATGAAAAGAATAAGGAGACATTAAATAGCCTGTTTTCTCTTGTGAATAAAGTATGACCGAATTTTAGTGCAAGAACTTTGTGACAGTTTTGCTAGCAAGATTTTTTGTTTGTTTGCTTTCTGGCTCATAGTTGTATTCTGGATGGTAAATGTTAGATATGACTTATGGATAAATGTGTGGTGGTGCGTATAGGAATCAGTTAGGTTACCTAATATGTACACTTAATTTATTTTAATTGCTCTAGTGGCAGCCTTTTTGTATATTAATAATAATCATGATTTCTGAATATTTCTGGAATATTACATAACAGGTGGTAAAATTTTTGTTTTAGTAAGACAGCATTTATTGGCTGTCTCTGTATTCATTTTATTTTACTGCATTTTGTGAGGACTTCAAAGAGGTGCATATAATTCAGGAGCCCTGAGTGGAAGAACAGCAACCTAGTTTGCAATGGGGTTTGATCTTTGCAAAATACAGTAGTCCCCCATTATCTGCAGTTTCACTTTTCACAGTTTCTATTACCTGCAGTCAACTGTGGTCTGAAAATAATAAGATATTTTGAGAGAGAGAGGCAGAGACCACATTCACATAACTTGTATATTGTATATTGTTATAGTTCTGTTTTATTATTATTGTTAATCTCTTACTGTGCCTAATTTATAAATTAAACTTTATCATAGGTATATATGTAATGGGAAAAACAGTACTGTATATATAGGGTTTGATACTGTCCATGGTTTCAGGCATCCACTGAAGGTCTTAGAATGTATCCCCTGTGGATAAGGGGGGACTACTGTATAAATTATAGAACTTAAAGATAAGATTGATATATTTATAATATTTTAATTAGCTTTGTTTTAAGGAGAAAAGCTATTTTAACATTGTATGCATTTCTTTTTATTTAGGTATTGGCTATAAAACTGCCAAATGTCTTGAAGCACTGGGTATCAATAGTGTGCGTGATCTCCAAACCTTTTCACCCAAAATTTTAGAAAAAGAATTAGGAATTTCAGTTGCTCAGCGTATCCAAAAGCTCAGTTTTGGAGAGGATAACTCCCCTGTGATACTCTCAGGACCACCTCAGGTACATGATGATACTTATTTTAATTAAGTACTGGTTATCACATTATTTGAGATAAAGATTTCTAGTTTTAGTACCATGTTCTTACTATTCTAGTTTGCTTAGTATGTGATCCCTTTCCTATTAGAAGGCTGATTTATTATTAATAGATTGGATTAATAAGTATTCTTAAATGGAATCTTAAGCATTGATATTTTGATATCTTAAGTTAGCTACTATGATTGAAGACAGTGCAACTTAATTTTAATAGCCTATAATGCATATATGAGGCAAAATATTTTAATCTGTTAAAAATCTTGTTTTCAGAGTAGTCCAGTGATTTAGCAAATGGGAAAGGTATAATCACCCAGTTAACATTGACTGATTTTTTTGCTATGGGACAAGCACTTTACTGAGTGCTTTAAATATGTTAGTCCATTTAATCTTCACAACAAAGCATCAAGGTAGGTAGTACTGTTGTTTGTCCATTCCTTCTTACTTCTCTTCTTTCCTTCCTTCCTTCCATTCTCTCTCTCTCAAGATGAGGATACCGTACTTTAGAAAGGTTAAATAACTTGTCCAAGGATAAACTTAGATTCAAGTCCTAGGTGATTAAGAACTCTTGCCATAATCATACAATAAAGCTTGGAGTTGGTACTAGAGCTTTAGAGTTTTCATAACTTTGAATTATTTTATATTAACTGTTTTATATTAACTGTTAATACAGTAATATTTTATATTAACTTTCTAGTGAGTACAATAGCTTGCAGATAAAAAACTGTTAATATAAAAGTGAACTAAATGGCTCAAACTAAGGACAAGAGGTAAGTTAGTGAAGAATGTATTGAATATTTATTTGACTGTACACTGATAATAATTAGATATAGTTATTTGAGTTTGTGCTAATCCTTATTTATGCTTCTTTGATAGTCCTTTAGTGAAGAAGATTCATTTAAAAAATGTTCATCTGAAGTTGAAGCTAAAAATAAGATTGAAGAACTACTTGCTAGTCTTTTAAACAGGTGATTTTCAATCCATTTTGCCAAGTCATCCTATGTATTCATTCTATATACGGTATGTGGAAAGAATATTTGATGTTCCATCTTGGAACTGACAGATTATCTGGAGACTAAACAATGTAAAAATAATTTATCATGGGATTTCTCTGCTTTATAAACTGTTGTAAAGATGGTAATAGGGGGTCTTACCTAAATTGAATTCATTGGTCTTAATTCTGTTAACACTGTGGTTATGCTATGGATCTAAAGCTGCAGATAGTTACCTAAAGGGGTTTTATGGATATTTCTAACATTTCTAGACTTATTCTGGTCTTCAGGTGAGAAGAAGAAGTTTTAATTTTTCCCTGTGGCAATTGCAAAGCCTCTGCCCTCAACCTAATAGTTAGTTGCATTTCATTAAGTTAGTACCATGCTAAATACAAATACATGCGAAATACAAAACCCGTGAAATTAACCATTTATCTGTGCCTCTGCTAATAGTTACTTGCATTTCATTAAGAAGAAAAAAATGCAAAGAGGAATAATACTGTCATAATTCTAAAACTCCTGATACAGGAACAACTATATAAATTTGTGATTGTTGAGGATAGGAAATTATTAAAGTAACAGTGATGGAAGAAGCAGAAGAACCCTTGTATCTCTTTTGCCTCAGACTGTAAAATAAAATGGAGTCGAAGGAAAGAATGGCTAGCTGGCGCTGTGTGTGAGTAGGGTGAGTGACTGCAGGTGTGTGCAGGGTTTCTGATCTGTATGTAAAGAGTATCAACTGGGGTTATAAATATATGAGTAGTACAAGATAAACTGAAAAGGAAATTTAATTTTGTGGTGCTCCTTGTCATTATACATGTATTTCTCAATATTCCATATTCCACAGATGAGTATTATCTGTTTTCGTCCCATTTCTTTGTTTCTCCTCTTCTTGTTAGAAATTTCTCAAATTGTGGTTTCAGGGCTCTAACAGTTTAGAGTAGGTGTGCTTCTCTAATGATTCTAGGAGGACTAACTGTATTTAGAGAAAATGGTTTTTGGTTGGTTCTAAGTCTGAGAAAACTGAAGAAGTGAAATTTCCTCCAACTTTGCTGTCGTGTGCAATGTGGCACTCAAATGTCTTGAGCAGAGCCATGCAGCTCATTGTTGGCTGCATGCAGCTGGGGCTGGCTGTATGACTGGCCTCCCGTGATATGACTCAGGCTGGGCCTGCGAGTATGCTAGTGAAACTGGGTCATTTGCTTCAGCTAAATAGAAGACTACCCTGAAATGCCTAACCTTTGGAGACAGTTCTTCACATAGAAAAACCACAAGAAGTATAAGTTTTACAGGTTCTCTTATTTGAAGAGTCAACCCAGAAGTGAGACCAGGTGCTCTAAACCTGTGACATACAAAACCTGTGAAATTAACCATTTGTCTGTATCTCTGCTTCCCGGCTCCTTTTCTCCCACACCACGGGCCCTTATTTCAGTGACTGAATTATAACACCATCTAAGTGACTTGCAAAAAAAAAAATTACAGGAGTGTGTGTGTGTGTGTGTGTGTGTGTGTGTGTGTATTTGTGTATAATTAGTTTTGTTTTCTCTAGAGTATGTTATGATTAATACTATAGGTATGTAAGAAATGTAAAACCGTATTATTTTTAATCCATCCTCTAGGCACTAGTTTAAGATTGCTTACGATACAGCCTTTTTCTAATGTGTCTTAATTAGCATATCATACTCTTTGAATTGCATAATTAATATAACACGTTTAACTGGAAGATATTTAAACTAGTAACCATTTAAGGTATTTTATCCTAGTTAAGCAGCCATCGAGAAGTTTTGTCACAAAGCAGTAAGAGATAGAAAAAATTATTTACTACAGAACTATTTAATTTTTTATGTTTTTGCGATAGGGTCTTGCTCTGTCACCCAGGCTGGATGGCAGTAGTGCAGTTAGGGCTCACTGCAGCCTCAGCCTCCTGGGCTCAAGCAATCCTCCCACCTCAACCGCCAGAATAGCTGGGAAGGCACCTGCCATCAAGCCTAGCTAATTTTTAAATTTTTGTAGATGAGGTCTTGCTATGTTGCCCAGGCTGGTCTTGAACTCCTGGGCTCAAGTGATCCTCCCACCTCAACTTCCCAAAGTGTTGGGATTACAGGTACGAGGCACCGTGCCTGGCCCAGAACTATTTTTTTCAGATCAGAATCTTCAAGTTGAGTGTGTTTAACAATGTGCAATACTTGCATTTTATGTTTGAGATTTGGTTTTATATGCATTGCCATGTGTATAAAAAGGGAAATGTTATCCTTTAATGACATTTTTTCCAGTACTACTTAAGTGAATTTGTCATATCACTAAAACCTTTGTTTCAACACCAAAACCAAGACATTTGCATGAAACTCTTCTAAAAAATGCATGTACTCATATTGTATATTAATTATATACTAAATATAGTATATGCTCTTTTAAGATATTGCTCTAATAAGCTATCATATAATGGTAATAGTGATTACTCTTTAACAAAAGTAATGTCATTTTGTAAAAAAAAATCTTTTTTTTGGTAATCTCGTAAGAAAAAAGTTTGAAAAAAGTTCTTTTGTTATTTTTCACTTATTTGCTTTTGTCAGTGAATGATTCAGTTTCTTAAATTTCCTGCTGATTTTAATTTGTTGCCTTTTGGTTAGGTGTGTTGGCTTACGTCTGTAATCCCAGCATTTTGGGAGGCTGAGGTGGGGGGATCACCTGAGGTCAGGAGTTCGAGACCAGCCTGGCCAACATGGCAAAACCACCTCTCTACTAAAAATACAAAAATTAGCCAGGTGTGGTCACACATGCCTGTAGTCCCAGCTACTCAGGAGGCTGAGGCAGGAGAATTGCTTGAACCTGGGAGGTGAAGGTTGCAGTGAGCTGAGATTGTGCCACCACATTCCAGCCTGGGCAACAGAGTGAGACTCCATCTCAAAAAAAAAAAAATTGGTTGCTTTTAGTTTTGTTTTGGATCTGTATTATAAAACAGTTTGTTATGATTGTATCTTATATCTCTTCTATTTCTGACAGCACTCAATTCTGAGTGAGGCCTGAGAGCTTGACATCTAAACATTCAGAGTTTTAGTGCATAGACTTTGTGATGATTATTTGGATACTCAGGGACCTTTATTGCTTACTATTTTGTTATCTGCTATATGTATAATTGTCATATTTAACAAAATCTGGCACCTTTAGATAAATGAGATGTTACATAATTTAAAAAGGTAATACTTTTCTAATTCCTTATTTCCACTTTCTCTTTATTTTTAGAGTATGCCAAGATGGAAGGAAGCCTCATACAGTGAGATTAATAATCCGTCGGTATTCCTCTGAGAAGCACTATGGTCGTGAGAGTCGTCAGTGCCCTATTCCTTCACATGTAATTCAGAAATTAGGGACAGGTATGGACTAGTTTTCCAACAGTTTCATTAGCAGGTTGAACTCTTAAATAAGCCAACTTTGAATGAGAAATATGCTCCAAAAATGGAGGGTCTTCACAGGGAATTAGCAAGCAATTAAATGCTTTTATTCTATCAGGAATTTTCACTGGAAAACTTTGTTGTTTGTTTATTTATTTATTTATTTTTTGAGACAGGGTCTTGCTCTGCACCAAGGCTGAAGTGCAGTGGTGCTGTGATAGCTCACTGCAGCCTTTGTCTCCCAGGCTCAAACAATTCTTCTGCCCCAGCCTCCCGAGTAGCTGGGACAGTAGGTGCATGCTACCAGACCTGGCTAACTTTTTTGATATTTAGGATAGACAGGGTCTCAAACTCCTGAGCTCAAGCAATCCTTCTGCCTCAGCCTCCGAAAGTGCTGGGATTATGGGCATGAGCTACTGCACCTGGCCTTGTTTTTAAATAGATAATTAAGTAAAGAGTCATTTAAGAATGTTTTCCAAGTTCAAAGAGAACAAAACTGTGATAACTGTATAGCATGAGATAACTTCTTTATGGGCATTTAGATTGTTTCCATTTTGAAGAACATTTAAATGCAAGTCATTGGATGGGCATATGCATATGTTTTCATTTATCTTGGGTAGATTTCAAAGAGTGGAATTGCTGGATCATATGGTAACATGAACTGTTTAAGAAGCTGCCAACTTTTTTCCAAAGTTTGTGTATTAATTTACATTTTCATCAACAATATTTGAAGGTTCCAGTTTTTCATATTTTCGCCAATATTTGTATTATCAGTCTCTTTGATTATAGTTGTTCTAGCGGTATATAGTAGTGTGGTTTTTCTTTTATGGATAGTGTTTTTGGTGTTATATGTAAAAATTCTTTGCCTAACTCAAAGGTCACAGATATTTTTTTCTGTTTTCTGTTAGAAGTTTTATAGTTTTTAAGCTTTATGTTTAGGTCCATTTTGAGTTAATTTTTTTATGTGTGGTATACGGTAAGGGTCTTCATTCTTTGCTTTGCATGTGGGTATCCAGTTGTTCCTGCATCATTTGTTGAAGACTATTCTCCACCCACTGAATTACCATGACATCTTTGTCAAAAATTAATTGACCATAAATATAAGAGTTTATTTCCTGACTTTCTTGTTTCATTGGTCTATATGTTTATCCTTAACACTGATTCCACCCTGTGGTGGTCTCTGCTGCTCTGTTTATTTTTCTGTAGTCTTTTTTTTTTTCCGTTTTTTCTTACAAAGTGGATAATTTGTATTGAGCTGCCTGTAAGTTCTCTGATTCATCTGTCATCTCATAACCGCTGTTGCCCCTGTAGTGATTTGTTGGTTTTGGTTACTGTACTTTTTAACTCTAGAATTTCTGTTTGTCTTTTGTTTATATGTTTGGTTTTGTTTCTTTATCAAGATTCTCCTTTTTTTGTAGTCATTATATTTTACTTTAATTCTTTAAACATGGTTGTCTTTAATTCTTTGGACATATCTATAATAATGAATTTGAAGTCTTTGCTAAGTTCACCTCAAAGTCAATTTATGTTAACTGCTTTTCCTCCCAAATATGTATCACACTTTCCTGTTTCTTTGCATGTTTTGAACTATTTTATTGAAAACTGAACCTCATAGATAATGTATTGTAGCAACTCTGGATTTACAATTTTTTCTTGTAGGGTTTTTTCTTTTTTGTTTCCTGTACTTCTTTTTAGGTAACTTGTCTGAACGTAATCTGCAGAATTTACCTCCCCTGTGCTGTGTAGCCACTGATTTCTCTGCTCAAGTGTTTTTTTTTTTTTTTTCCATTCAAATTTTTATTTTAATACTGGCTTCTGGGAAGTTGCCCATGTCTGTATAGTTTCATGGTTAGCCAGTGATTGGCAAAGGTTTTGCTCAAACACTAGAGTCTGGAAGCCGTCTACCTCTGCCAGTGGATAAGTGTATGGGTTGGAGAGGGCTTAAAAAATTTAGGCCATTTTCCCATACTGCCCAAAGTAATTTATAGGTTCAATGCCATCCCCATCAAGCTACCACTAACTTTCTTCACAGAATTGGAAAAAAATACTTTAAATTGCATATGGAACCAAAAATGAGCCCCTATAGCCAAGACAATCCTAAATAAAAAGAACAAAGCTGGAGGCATCATGCTACCTGACTTCAAACTATACTACAAGGCTACAGTAACCAAAACAGCATGGTACTGGCAGAAAAACAGAGATACAGAACAATGGAACAGAACAGAGGCCTCAGAAATAACACCACACATCTACAACCATCTGATCTTTGACAGACCTGACAGAAACAAGCAATGGGGAAAGGATTCCCTATATAATAAATGGTGCTAGGAAAACTGGCTAGCCATATGTAGAAAGTTGAAACTGGATCCCTTCCTTACACCTTATACAAAAGTTAACTCAAGATGGATTAAAGACTTAAATGTTAGAACTGAAATCATAAAAACCCTAGAAGAAAACCTAGGCAATAGCATTTAGTACATAAGCATGGGCAAAGACCTCATGACTAAAACACCAAAAGCAATGGCAACAAAAGCCAAAATTGACAGATGGGACCTAATTAAACTAAAGAGCTTCTGCACAGCAAAAGAAACTATCAGCAGAGTGAACAGGCAACCTACAGAATGGGAGAAAATTTTTGCAATCTACCCATCTGACAAAGGGCTAATATCCAGAATCTACAAAGAAGTTAAACAAATTTACAAGAAAAAAGCAAACAACCCCATCAAAAAGTGGGCAAAGGATATGAACAGACACTTTTCAAAAGAAGACATTTATGCTGCCAACAGACATATGAAAAAATGCTCATCATTGCTGGTCATTAGAGAAATACAAATCAAAACCACAATGAGATACCAGCTCATGCCAGTTAGAATGGCGATCATTAAAAAGTCAGGAAACAACAGATGCTGGAGAGGATGTGGAGAAATAGGAACACTTTTACACTGTTGGTGGGAGTGTAAATTAGTTCAACCATTGTGGATGACAGTGTGGTGATTCCTCAAGGATCTAGAACTAGAAATACCATTTGACCCAGTGATCCCATTACTGGGTATATACCCAAAAGATTATAAATCATGCTACTATAAAGACACATGCACGCGTATGTTTATTGTGGCACTATTCACAATAGCAAAGACTTGGAACCAACCCAAATGTCCATCAGTAATAGACTGGATAAAGAAAACGTGTCACATATACATCATGGAATACTATGCAGCCATAAAAAAGGATGAGTTCATGTCCTTTGCAAGGACATGGATGAAGCTGGAAACCATCATTCTCAGCAAACTATCACCAGGATAGAAAACCACACACCACATGTTCTCACTCATAAGTGGGAGTTGAACAACGAGGACACATGGACACAGGGAGGAGAACATCACACACCGGGGCCTATCTGGATGGAGGGCTGAGGGAGGGATAGCATTAGGAGAAATACCTAATGTAAATGAAGAGTTGATAGGTGTAGCAAACTAACACGGTACATGTATACCTATGTAACAAATCTGCACATTGTGCACATGAACCCCAGAACTTAAAGTATAAAAGAAAAAAAATTAGGCCATTTTCAAGTTTTTCTTGAATTTTAATTTCTGCTAGGCCCTCTTTATCTCCCCATGATGTGCATGTAGCCCTTTCAGTAAGGAGTGTATGGGGAGCTTGGGCCCTCTGTGGCCTTCCATTTATTTGCATGTAGCCTCCTAGTCAACTAGGGTTGTACGGGGAGCCTATGTAGTCCCTCTTTGGTTCTCTCATTTCCAAATCTCCTGGTGACATATCTGGCTGGTCCACTGATCTGTCCTTCACCCGAACCACGACTGAAGCTTCAGACTAGCAGAGCTGTGGGATCTTCCCATTCGTTTCCTATCAAATTTGCTCATTTTACTGGCAACACTGCTGAGTGTGGGCTTTTGCCCACTGCCTCAAATCAGGTCTGTCCCCTCTGGAAGTGAAACTGCTGGCTTTTGCAGCCTTCACCCTGTACCAACTGAGCTATGTAAAGGGACATTCGAACAGTCCCAGACAGTGAAGCTGCTATCTCCTACTTTCTTAGCTAACATATAGCAGCTGTTCATAGATCAGTACTTCTCACTTTGTTTGCCTTTGGTTCATTTCCAGATTTCCACCAAAATGATTGTTTTTGACAATGTTGTTCAGTTTTATAGTAGCTTTTTGAGAGAGGATTTTCTGACCATATCAGTGTAGTATAACCAGAAATCCCATATTTCAAATCTTTTGAAAATTTTTAACCATTTAGTATTAATATTGAAATGTCTTAATTTGGTATATAATGTCAAGATGCCCAGTGATATTTAGGATTTTAATTTCTTAATCTCAGCAATATAAAATATATTATGCTCTTAATATTAATTATAATGTTTATTCTTAAACATTTTATTTAGGAAATTATGATGTGATGACCCCAATGGTTGATATACTTATGAAACTTTTTCGAAATATGGTGAATGTGAAGATGCCATTTCACCTTACCCTTCTAAGTGTGTGCTTCTGCAACCTTAAAGCACTAAATACTGCTAAGAAAGGGCTTATTGATTATTATTTAATGCCATCATTATCAACTACTTCACGCTCTGGCAAGCACAGTTTTGTAAGTACACTCTTTTTTGTTCAGTTTTCTAAGTATACTCTTATGGGATTTGTGTGGTTACATTACAAATCTAAGTGCTTGTCTTTTTGATATAGTTTAGAGATTCTTTTGGGTGATATTGTTTAGGTGATTAACTTGTTTATAATACCTATCTTATGGTTTCTGGCCTTAAATATGCTGTGATCTAAGAAGAAAACATAAGCATCACTGGATAAAAGAGAGAACCATTATGGAGGTTCTCTATTTTGGAATTGTTAACACATTTTATAGTATATAAAAATATGATGGATTAGCTCATAAGTATTAAAATATTTGCAGATATTAGAAATCACATCTTTTTGTCTTTTAGCTGACACATGAGCTACTAGTACCTTTCCCATGATTCTTTTGTTAAAGTATTTACATTTTCTTCATTTTGAAATAGTATTGAATTTTGATAGCAATATTGATAGATTTGACTACTGATTTCATAGTTGTAAAGTTAACAGTGTGGCAATAGAAAGGCAGAGGCCAGTCACATTTTCAGACGACTAAAACAAAACCCTTTTATTAATAGACAAACCACTATTTAGTAAATGTGGGTTGCCTTAAAAACAATTATTTTTTACTAAATTGTTCATGCCTATAATTAACTCAATTTAAAATACTTTTGTGTTTGTTTAGTCAGTATAATTTTAGTAACCTTTTCATTTTCATTTAAGTTTAAAGTGAGAACAGGATAGTGTATGGAAATAGTGAATTAATGCTCTCTTCAAATTACTTTTTTCTGTGACCCTTCTTATTCCATTTATTAAATTTAAAAAAGTGTTTTCTTTTTACATTTTAATTAATCTGTGAAATTGGAATTAAAAGTGCTCATTTATAGTGGCATTAGAAAAGTAAATATAAGTGAAAGTACCTTGTATGTATTTGTCACACAGTAGGTAGTCAATAAATATAAGGGCCTGAATCTTTTCTACTACTTTTACTTTTTTGGAGTTCATATTGTGTTGATGTTTACGGAGTTATATTTGACTATGTTTATATTTTTATGGTGCTTGAAACTAAAGGATTTAAATGAAAAACTGTATAGAAAAATTATGCAAGTTAGAGTTGAAAGTGTCTTTAAATTTTTATTTTATATAAATATAAACTAGTACTATATCTTGATGATGTTGGGTTTTGTTATAGGCTTTTTTTTTCTTTTTGTTAAAAGTTACCCTTTAGAATAGTAATTTTTGGAAAACTAGCCCTTGATGCTATATGTGTATGTTTTTTTGAAAAATACCCTTAGGTGAACTTGCTTTTCTAGGCCGCCATTCTTTTATTTATAGAATTGAAAGTTTGGTTGCATGATTGTTACAATCTTCCCAGGTCTCCAAATGCATATTTACCTCTGTCTCAGTGCTATCTAGGAAGGAAACCTCTTCCTGGAATAGTGGGTAGAGATTCACAAAATAGTGTGAATAATTGTGGTAGTAGATCTCTAGTTGTTTGGAACTGGCCACAAAGAGTTGTATTTGTTGAGTAGGTTAGAAACATGTCAGATAATAGCTACAGGCACACAGCAGCAGCAGCGATATTTAAAAGATATCAGATATGTAAATTAGTCTGTTATTCTTGTGTTCTAGAAAATGAAAGACACTCATATGGAAGATTTTCCCAAAGACAAAGAAACAAACCGGGATTTCCTACCAAGTGGAAGAATTGAAAGTACAAGAACTAGGGAGTCTCCACTAGATACCACAAATTTTTCTAAAGAAAAAGACATTAATGAATTCCCACTCTGTTCACTTCCTGAAGGTGTTGACCAAGAAGTCTTCAAGCAGCTTCCAGTAGATATTCAAGAAGAAATCCTTTCTGGAAAATCTAGGGAAAAATTTCAAGGGAAAGGAAGTGTGAGTTGTCCATTACATGCCTCTAGAGGAGTATTATCTTTCTTTTCTAAAAAACAAATGCAAGATATTCCCATAAATCCTAGAGATCATTTATCCAGTAGCAAACAGGTATCCTCTGTATCTCCTTGTGAACCGGGAACATCAGGCTTTAATAGCAGTAGTTCTTCTTACATGTCTAGCCAAAAGGATTATTCATATTATTTAGATAATAGATTAAAAGATGAACGAATAAGTCAAGGACCTAAAGAACCTCAAGGATTCCACTTTACAAATTCAAACCCTGCTGTGTCTGCTTTTCATTCATTTCCAAACTTGCAGAGTGAGCAACTTTTCTCCAGAAACCACACTACAGATAGCCATAAGCAAACAGTAGCAACAGACTCTCATGAAGGACTTACAGAAAATAGAGAGCCAGATTCTGTTGATGAGAAAATTACTTTCCCTTCTGACATTGATCCTCAAGTTTTCTATGAACTACCAGAAGCAGTACAAAAGGAACTGCTGGCAGAGTGGAAGAGAGCAGGATCAGATTTCCACATTGGACATAAATAAGCATATTCAGCAAAAAGGTCTGAAAAGCAAGGGAATACCATTATTTTCGGATTAGCGGTTTATTAAGCTCTTCTATATTAAACACTAATAGATATTCAATAACGGAGTAAACTGTTCCAGATAAAGCAAGAATAGTTGCAAGAAGTAAATTCTGGCACAAAGCGTAAAAATATAACAGAAGAAATAATGTAAAATACTATCTTTTATGTCTAAAGCCATTTTATATTACTTTTCAATAAAAAGAATATCATGGTCAACATAGAATATTTTTCATGAATTGGTGGGGAGATGTATATGTTTATATATAAAAAATAGCCAAATCGTTGCAATGATATGGTAAAGGACACATTTTTTTTTTTTTTTTCCTGTGAAATGTGGAATATCTCAAATTCAGCCTCTTAGGCTGAATAGCAAATCCTACTGCCAACTAACCTATTAAAAATATAGATAGTTTTGACTAAAGTACTACATTACATTTAGTATGTTGACTTTTAAAATACCAAAGCAATTTATATTCAATTAATGCTTCTTCATACACCAAGAATCTACCACAATACACAGCACACAAAGGCCGTTCAATAAACATTGAATGAATGAATGGTTTGGCTAGGGCCAGGGTGGGGAGTTAAAGTGAGAGGAGGGTATATGTTATAGAGAACAGTGGTAGAAGGAACTCTCCGTGCAAGTAAATTAAGGGAAAGATGGACACCAGAAAGGCAAGGTGATGGGCCTATAAGCATACTGGATAATGGAAGAAGTCCATTTCTTTCTAGCTAGTTTGAAGGGCCTAAAAGCACTGAGATGTTTTTGTATCTTCCCTACATTTGGAGATGATATTAGGTTGTCATAACAACCACAAATATAGACCATTACTAAATTGGTGGATGTCCTCTTTCTCCCATTGTTATTGCCTTCCTCTTTTGCCTGCTAAACTAAAAATTGGATATAAGATTGAGAATGTATTATATAATTTGCAAGACATAGAGGATGTTTATAGAATATACTAAAGTATCCCTCAGCACCAATATGGGAGTATCCTGGTCTCAAGTTTATAATTTTTGCACATATAATCTAAAGAAGAGACTTTAAAAATAAAGTACACAAATATGAACCAAAGAGTAGCTTAAAAATACTTTCTTCTAGGTCTGAAATTTTCTTTTCTTTCTTTTTTTGTTTTGGAGACAGAGTCTCACTCTGTCGCCCAGGGTGGAGTACAGTGGCGCAATCCCAGCTCACTACAACCTCCGCCTCCCAGGTTCAAGCAATTCTCCTGCCTCAGCCTCCTGAGTAGCTGGGATTACACGCATGCCCTACCACACCCAGCAAATTTTTGTATTTTTAGTAGAGATGACATTTCACCATATTGGCCAGGCTGGTCTCGAACTCCTGGTCTCAGGTGATCCTCCACCTTGGCCTCCCAAAGTGCTGGGATTACAGGTGTGAGCCATTGCTCCTGGCCCCAGCTCTGAAATTTTAACTTAGTTTTGGATTCCTTGGAATTTGAAAATATGCTAACACGAAGGATTGTAAATAGGTAGTTTGAGGTTATCAGGAACAGTAACTTGAAGCAAGAACATCAGAAATTGTTCACCATGCAAATATTTAGTACTCTGAATCAAGGAACATAGTATTTTTTACATGAGTATTCCAGTAAGGTAATTAAACTTATGAAAAGGGTATATAACTTTTTGTAAATCATTAAAACATTTTATAGTCCTTGTAATGATTTCAGGACCTTGGACAGCTAGAAGGGGCTTAAGAAAAAATGGCTAAGAAAACAAAGTAAATGGTTTTGGCCAGCTTAAAAAGAGAAAGCAAAATAGTTAAAAATACATTTCATAGATTGAGAATGTACGGGCTATGTCACAGTTACGCTACTTATTTTGTGGTTTTAAGTTAGTCTCAACATCTTTGGGCCTCAGAATCAACTTTTTTATGGGATCTTTTTTCTCTGTTTTTAAGATTATCTCTTTTTTCTTTGGTGCTTTGCAGGTTTACTGTATTATTTGGAAGTGCGAATTTATTTTTATTCTTAGTATATACTGGCTTCTTCCTGTATCTTTTAATTCATGTTCTGTAAAATTCTCAACCACTAGCTCTTCAAATATTTCTTCTCTATTCTAGGACTGTATACAAATGATAGACTTTCTTACTGTATCCTTCATGTCTCTTAATTTCTCATATTTTTCATCCTCTTGTTTCTCTTTACTGCATTTTGGGTAATTTCATCAGCTCTATCTTTCTGTTTACTAGTTCATTTTTCAGTAGCATCTCACCTGCTATTTAAAACAATGATGGTTTTAATTTCAATAAATATATTTTTCATTTGATTCTTTTTAACTTCCCGTTTACTCATTACAGTCCCTTGTAAGTCTGTTTCTAATTTTTAAAAGTCAAATATATGATATTTTTGATAATTTCAATATTTTAAGTCTTTATAAGTCTACATTTAAGGTTATTATTGCATATCATTGTGACTTATTTCCTTGAGTATGTGTTAATCTGCGAGAAGACAGAGGGCCTAAATTGTGTATGTTTTCCTTCAGTATGATTTGAGTTCGTTGCTTCTCTGGGTGAGGTGGTACAAACTCCTTGGCATACTCTATTCACCTTTGTGGATCCTGATTGAATGCCTTGTCTTAAGTGTAAGCTCCCTGACCCTTACTACTAGCCGAAGGTTTTGTCTCTGCAGGTCAATTCCAAACTAACAGGCAGATGCTGTTAGCTATCTGCCTCCAGGGATAAACCCCATCTTTCAAGCTTGCTTCTTGCTTGATGCTTTCTGCTGCTTTCTTGCTTTTGTTTCAGCTCGAGTTTGTTGTTGTTTTTTTTTTTTCCTGTTTCTGTCTTGAATGTAGAGGGTATTTTTATTTTTATTTTTTCTGTTTCTCTCTTGAGTGTATAGTGTAGAGGGGGTTTCTGTCTTGAGTGTAGGCCTGGAGATTTCCCTTATATGGTACAAACCAGCAATGAATTAAGAGGTCTCTTTTCTCCAAGATCTAGTGTTTTGTACTAGGAGAACTCTAAAAAGTATCTATTCCACTGTAGTGCCAAAGTACAAATTTATTTGGATTTATTTTTTGCCATCTTATTTTTTAATATATTTCTTTTTCTATGTTGTGCTTCTTTCCCACCTTTATCTCTCCTCCTATCTTTTGGGATCAGTTGGGTTTTCTATTTAATCATATATTTTCCCTTTACTGATTTGGAATGTGAATGTTACAAGTCCTTTTGATTATCCTTAAACATCTAAAAATGCTACCCTCTTTCCAAACAACACAAAGGTATTGAAATAACATTAATTCTAATTAAATTCCACAAGTTCTTTATTAAATCTCCAAATTGGATATTATTAGTATTTTATATAGTCAATGTTTATTTTTTTGATGGGACATGGTGGGGGCTTACCTTTTTTCTTGTGTGTCAGATGTTCCTTCTAGGTAGAATTCTTTATACCTTCTGAAATTATGTCCTTAGAGCTGTAGATTTAGAACTGACATCTCTTGAGCTGTTCTAAGATAATATCTTTTACTTTGGAGATACGCAGTTTTTATTATATGTCTAGCTATAGATTTATCATGGATTTAGGTTCATTATGAATCTGCAGATTTGTGTCTTCCATCAAATCTGGATTGTTTTCAATATTAAAAAAACTTCTATTTTAAAATCTGTATATAGAAAGGTACATAAACATAAATGAACATGTTAATGAGTAATTGTAACAACTATGTAACTGTCCAAGTCAAGAAATAAAACATATCAAGTAATCAAGAAGTCCAGAGTTTTCTTTGGGGTTTCATTACGTAGGCATGATTTATTAAAACCTTTACTGTGTGCTTGAACTTAATCTCCAGTTTCCCTCCTCTGTCTGGACATCAGGCTGGCTCAAAGTCTCAACACCCTAATCATGGTTGTTTTTTTGAAGTGAGCTACCTCCATCCTAAATCATCTTTTTAGCATTAGCTGTCTAGGGCCCACTGTGGGTCACATCATTAGCATACAGTGTCAGGGCTTACCATGAATAATGAAGGCACTTCTGTTGTTTAGGAAATTCCATGGGTTTTAGGAGCTTGGTGTCCAGGAACCCTGAACGAAGACCAGACCAATTATACTACAGAATCTTTTTTTTTTTTTTTTTTTTGAGATGGGGTCTCGCTCTGTCGCCCAGGTTGGAGTGCAAAGGTGTGATCTTGACTCACTGCAACCTCCATCTCCTGGGTTCAAGTGATTCTCCTGCCTCAGCCTCGAGTAGCTGGGATTACAGGCACCTACCACCACACCCAGCTAATTTTTGTATTTTTAATAGAGATGGCATTTCACCATGTTGGTCAGGCTGATCTTGAACTCCTGACCTCGTGATCTGCCCGCCTCAGCCTCCCAAAGTGCTGAGATACAGGTGTGAGTCACCACCCCTGGCCCTACTACAGAATCTTTTAAAATAAGTTTTGAGATGTATTATGGCCCCAAAGTGATCTACTTTAGTAAATATAGGTATGACTTGACTGACAATGTGGTTATGCTCAGATAAGCCCATTGTAAATTGAAAATATCATGAGTGAAATACATTTAATACATCTATGAAACATCATAGCTTAGCCAGGCCTACCTCAGACATACTCAGAGCAACTCACGTTGGCCTACAGTTGGGCAAAGTAGTGTAACACAAAGCCTGTTGACAGAGCCTGGGCCGGGCGTGGTGGCTCATGCTTGTAATCCTAGCACTTTGGGAGGCCGAGGCTGGTGGATTGCCTAAGCTCAGGAGTTCGAGACCAACCTGGGCAACATGGTGAAACCCTGTCTCTACCAAAATACAAAAAGTTGACTGGGCGTGGTGGTGCACGCCTGTAGTCCCACCTACTGGGGAGGCTGAGACAGGAGACTCGCTTGAACCTGGGAGGTGGAGGTTGCAGTGAACCAAGATCCCACCATTGCACTCCAGCCTGAGTGACAGAGCAAGACTCCATCTCAAAACAAAACAAAAAAAGCCTGTTTTATAATAAAATGTTGAATATCTCATGTAAGTATCATACTGCATATCAGTCACCGAATGGAATTAACAGCAGATACTGCTGGAGAAAAAATTAGTGCACTAGAAGTCAGAGCAATAAATTATTCAGAAAGAAACAGAGAAAAAATAATAAACACAGCATCTGTGAGCTATGAGACAACTTCAGGCAGGCTAATACATGTCTTATTCAAGTCCCCAAAGAAGAGAAGAGGGTGGGAGATGTAAAAAATATGTGAAGAAACAATGGAGAAATTTTTCCAAATTTGAGGTTAACTATAAACCCACAGGTCCAAAGAGCTTGGCAAATCCCAGGTACAATAAACGTGAAGAAAACTATACCAAGGAGTAACCTAATCAGAGCTCTTAAAACCAGTGATAAACACCATCCCTTGAAAAAGACATACTATTGCAGAAAAACAAGCAAAGCCAACAATTTTGAAAATATTGGAAGCCAGAAGACAGTGGTCTGACATCCTCAAATAAAGTAAAGAAGTGGGGGAAAAGTTGGTTAACTTAGATATCTTAAAAAAAAAAGGAAAATAAGAACATAAGGCATACATATGAAAGAACTCATGCCCGGTAGACCTACATTACCCATAAAATTAGAGGAAGTCCAACAGGCAGGAAGAGCACACCAGATGGAAATACAGATCTACACACAGAAATGAGGAGCACCAGAAATATGAGTATATTTAAAAGCTTTTTTTGTTTCTTATTTCTAAGTGTCTTTTTAAAAGTTGGCTATATAAAACAAAAATAAAAATTATTAAAAATATATTGTAGGATTACAATATATGTGGGAGTAAAATGTAACAGTACAAAGGCCAGGAGGGGAAGTATATAATTTTAAGTATAGAAATGGTAGTATATTATTGTAAGGCCCTTAAACTAAACATGAAGTGGTGGGTTACATCTTGAAGACAGACTGTGATAAGTTAGAGATGTATAATATAAACCCTAAAATAACCACTGAAATAGCAAAATAAGTTTTAATTAATAAGCCAGTAAAGAAGATAAGAAATAGAATAATAAAAAGCCACAAAATTCAATCCCCAAAAAAAGCTTAAAAGGAGAGAAAAGAGGAATAGGACACATGGGGAAAATAGAAAACAAATAGTAGGTTGGTACATTTAAGTCATATCAAAATCATGTTAAATATAAATGATCTAAAAACCTCAATTAAAGGGCAGAGATTATCAGATTGCATGAAAAAGTAGGACCCAACTGTCTGCTGTGTATATAAAATTTTTTAAAAAATAAAGACAAATATGTTAAAAGTAAAAATTGGATAAAAGACACGAGTCTAACATTAATCAAAAGAAAGATGTAATAGCTTTCAACAGGAAAACTGCTTGTTAGAGCAAAGGAATTTAATCAGAAAATCATTTCAAAATGATAAACGAGTCAGTTCATCAGGAGAATGCAATAGTCCTAAATGTTAATGCATCCTCAAAATACATAAAGCAAAAGCTGATAAAACTGCAAGGGGAAAAATATCCACAATTGTAGTTAAGAGATTTGAGGCTGGGTGTGGTGGCTCACACCTGTAATCCCAACACTTTGGGAGGCCAGGGTGGGCAGATCACAAGGTCAGGAGTTCGAGACCAGCCTGGCCAATATACTGAAACCCCGTCTCTACTAAAAATACCAAAAAGTAGCTGGGCGTGGTGGCGGGCACCTGTAATCTTAGCTACTCGGGAGGCTGACGCAGGAGAATCACTTGAACCTGGGAGATGGAGGTTGCAGTGAGCTGAGATTGTGCCATTGCACTCCAGCCCAGGCAACAGTGTGAAACTCCCATCACACACACACACACACAAAGATTTGAATACTTTTTTCTCAATAATTGCTAAAATGAACATACAAAAAAAAATCAGTAAGGATACAGAAGACCTGAACAATTGACATTTATACAAAAGTCCACACAACAGCAAAACATTTTGTTAAAGTGCACACAGAATACAGATGTTCCCTGACTTACAATAGTTCAACTTAAAAATTTTCAACTTCATAATGGTGCAAAAACAATGTACATTCAGGAGAAACCATACATTGGATTTTACATTGTGATGCTCCTTCTGCTTCTTTCAGGTGCTTTCTTTCTCAGAGTTCATATGCATATAATAATCAATACTCAACTGAGGACTTAAGGGGTATTTTCTGCAGATTTCTGCAGCTATCTGAATTCTGAACTCTAGCTGTTCGTGCCTCCAGACTCCCAGGTCCTTAATTCACAGAGACTGCTGGGCTCTCTCTGGCTTCTCTCCTCCAGGGCTGCACCCTGGAAACTTCAGGCAGTAAGCTAAGGCAATTGTAGGGCTCACCTCATTTGCTGACTTTTCATTTCTGCTATTTTGTTTTTATTTTACTTTTTTAAAAAGTTCTTCCTTATTCTCTAAATGTTTATTTCCATAGCACCCTGTTCTTGTTCATTTTTTCTCAGATACAGTATCTTCTCATCTCTAAAGATGTGGTAAAACTTCCAAAGATTTCCTTATACTGTATAGTCTCTCTTGAAGTTGCTTTTATTTGTTTAAGAATGTGGGACTAAAAATATGACTGGAAGCTCTGATAGCTTGGGTAGGACTTGTCAGCTTTGAGTTACATACAGGATGATCTGGCTAGGCCATTGTTGGGGGAACTCCTGATGTCCGTATCATTAGATCTTTCCTTTGGGGCTGGTTATGTTTATCAAATATGATGATTAAAATATCTTACTTAGATTATGAATGTCTGTCTGTCTGGCTGGCTGTGTTATAGGAACAATGTGGGGAAAGGGACTAGAAATCTCAGCATTCAATATGTATACTCATTTAATCTTCCTGTTCTTAGTATACTTCCTAGATTCTCAACTAAACCAAACATTCTCTAGTTCAGAGACCATTTGTTTTACTGTCCTCTAGAGGAGAGTAAAAAAAGAGTTTTACTCTTTTACAATTCTCTAGAAAAAAACTCCAACCTTTTGTTGGATTTGAGGAGATAATTTCTCAATGTTTTTAGTCTTTAATTTTTGTTGGTACATAGTAGGTATGTATATTTATAGGGGTACATGAGATTCTTTGATACAGGCATGCAATGCATAATAATCACATCATGGTAAATGGGGTATCCATCCCCTCAAGCATTTATCTTTTGTGTTTACAAACAATCAACTTATAATCTTTTAGTCATTTAAAAATATACAATTAAATTATTATTAACTATAATCACCCTGTTGTGCTATCAAATACTAGGTCTTATTCATTCTAATTATTTTTTGTACCCATTAACTATCCCCACTTCTCCCAACCCACCTCCACTACCCTTCCCAGCCTCTGGTAACCATCCTTCTACTCTATCTTCACAAGTTCAATTGTTTTAATTTTTAGCTCCCACAAATAAGTGAGAACATGGAAAGTTTGTCTTTCTGTGCCTGGCTAATTTCACTTAACATAACAACCTCCAGTTCCATCCATGTTGTTGCAAATGTTTCTCAATTAGTTTTCACCCACTTCTCCTTACCAAGTCCCATTAGCATCACATCATTGATGTGGAATTAGCCCTGTGGGTTATCAGCTTGTGGATGTCCAGTATTTGTGAAAGCAAAAGTAATGATGTATTGCTATTTGAATTACAGCTGTGATATATAGTCTTGCATTTAATGGTTCCAATGTAGACTTAAAGGTAGAAGCTCTCATGGTAGGACACCTACATAGTATACTTGGAGGCATCCCCAAGAGCCTAGAATCTGCCCTTCCCACTTTTCCAACAATGCCCTAAGTACCTAATTAGCTGTAATAAATTCACCCCTTTCTGCCTAAACTACCTAGATTGTTCTGCATTATTCCTAGAATGACAGAATGGTAGAAAACTCAATTCTTTTAAAAATCCGCTTGCACTTTTTCTTACACTGTCTGTGTTAAAACTGTCATGTTTTATTTTAATTACTATTTTCAACAAAGTCATTTTTATTCTATATGAGGTAATACAAATATTTGAATTATTTGGTGGGGGACTATAATTCTTTGTCTTATTTATTATTTCTGCTGACTACTCACATGCTGGCATTTTTCCTCATGTGCTCTGTGATTTTGGAGTGTGTGTTCATGTTTGCTAGCCTTTATTTGTGGAACTCCTGCAAGGTCTGGATGAGGATGTGTCACTCCAGGAAATATTTGCACTTGCTTCTGCTGGCACTTGGACTATTTTGTTAATTTCTTATCTTGCAAATTAAACCTCAAATCTTGGCAGACTGCAGGCATGCATTCTCAGATGATACTTCCACCTCTCTCCCAGTTCATTTTTCTTTTTTTTTTTTTTAATTATACTTTAAGTTCTAGGGTACATGTGCACAACATGCAGGTTTGTTACATGTGTATACATGTGCTGTGTTGCTTTGCTGCACCCATTAACTAGTCATTTACATTAGGTATTTCTCCTAATGCTATCCCTCCCCCATCCCCCCACCCCACAATGGCCCTGGTGTGTGATGTTCCCTGCCCTGTGTCCAAGTGTTCTCATTGTTCAGTTCCCACCTATGAGTGACAACATGTGGTGTTTGGTTTTCTGTCCTTGCGACAGTTTGCTGAGAATGATGGTTTCCAGCTTCATCCACGTCCCTACAAAGGACATGAACTCATCCTTTTTATGGCTGCATAGTATTCCATGGTATATATGTGACACATTTTCTTAATCCAGTCTATCATTGATGGACATTTGGGTTGGTTCCAAGTTTTTGCTATAGTGAGTAGTGACACAATAAACATACATGTGCGTGTGTCTTTATAGTAGCATGATGTATAATCCTTTGGATATATACCCAGTAATGGGATTGCTGGGTCAAATGGTATTTCTAGTTCTAGATCCTTGAGGAATCACCACACTGTCATCCACAATGGTTGAACTAATTTACACTCCCACCAACAGTGTAAAAGCGTTCCTATTTCTCCACATCCTCTCCAGCATCTGTTGTTTCCTGACTTTTTAATGATCGCCATTCTAACTGGCGTGAGATGGTATCTCATTGTGGTTTTGATTTGCATTTCTCTGATGACCAGTGATGATGAGCATTTTTTCATATGTCTGTTGACTGCATAAATGTCTTCTTTTGAAAAGTGTCTGTTCATATCCTTTGCCCACTTTTTGATGGGGTTGTTTGCTTTTTTCTTGTAAATTTGTTTAACTTCTTTGTAGATTCTGGATATTAGCCCTTTGACAGATGGGTAGATTGCAAAAATTTTCTCCCATTCTGTAGGTTGCCTGTTCACTCTGCTGATAGTTTCTTTTGCTGTGCAGAAGCTCTTTAGTTTAATTAGATCCCATTTGTCAATTTTGGCTTTTGTTGCCATTGCTTTTGGTGTTTTAGACATGAAGTCCTTGCCCATGCCTATGTCCTGAATGATATTGCCTAGGTTTTCTTCTAGGGTTTTTACGGTTTTAGGTCTAACATTTAAGTCTTTAATCCATCTTGAATTAATTTTTGTATAAGGTGTAAGGAAGGGATCCAGTTTCAGCTTTCTACATATGGCTAGCCAGTTTTCTCAGCACCATTCATTAAATAGGGAATCCTTTCCCCATTTCTTGTTTTTGTCAGATTTGTCAAAGATCAGATGGTTGTAGATGTGTGGTGTTATTTCTGAGGCCTCTGTTCTGTTCCATTGTTCTGTATCTCTGTTTTTCTGCCAGTACCATGCTGTTTTGGTTACTGTAGCCTTGTAGTGTAGTTTGAAGTCAGGTAGCATGATGCCTCCAGCTTTGTTCTTTTTGCTTAGGATTGTCTTGGCTGTGTGGGCTCTTTTTTGGTTCCATATGAACTTTAAAGTGTTTTTTTCCAATTCTGTGAAGAAAGTCATTGGTAGCTTGATGGGGATGGCATTGAATCTATAAATTACCTTTGGCAGTATGGCCATTTTCACGATATTGATTCTTCCTATCCATGAGCATGGAATGTTCTTCCATTTGTTTGTGTCCTGTTTTATTTCATTGAGCAGTGGTTTGTAGTTCTTGAAGAGGTCCTTCACATCCCTTGTAAGTTGGATTCCTAGGTATTTTATTCTCTTTGTAGCAATTGTGAATGGGAGTTCACTCATGATTTGACTCTCTGTTTGTCTGTTATTGGTGTATATGAATGCTTGTGATTTTTGCACATTGATTTTGTGTCCTGAGACTTTGCTGAAGTTGCTTATCAGCTTAAGGAGGTTTTGGGCTGAGACGATGGGGTTTTCTAAATATACAATCATGTCATCTGCAAACAGGGACAATTTGACTTCCTCTTTTCCTAATTGAATACCCTGTATTTCTTTTTTTTTTTAATTTCTTTTTTGAAACAGAGTCTCGCTCTGTCACCCAGGCTGGAGTGCAGTGGTGCTATCTCTGCTCACTGCAAACTCTGCCTCCTGGGTTCACGCCATTCTCCTGCCTCAGCCTCCTGAGTAGCTGGGACTACAGGTGCCTGCCACTACGCCTGGCTAATTTTTTGTATTTTTAGTAGATACGGGGTTTCACTGTGTTACTCAGGATGGTTTCGATCTCCTGACCTCATGATCCGCCCGCCTCAGCCTCCCAAAGTGCTGGGATTACAGGCGTGAGCCACCGCACCCAGCCCCCTTTATTTCTTTCTCTTGCCTGATTGCCCTGGCCAGAACTTCCAACACTATGTTGAATAGGAGTGGTGAGAGAGGGCATCCCTGTCTTGTGCCAGTTTTCAAAGGGAATGCTTCCAGTTTTTGCCCATTCAGTATGATATTGGCTGTGGGTCTGTGCTAAATAGCTCTTATTATTTTGAGATACGTGCCATCAATATCTAGTTTATTGAGAGTTTTTTGCATAAAGGGCTGTTGAATTTTGTCGAAGGCCTTTTCTGCATCTATTGAGATAATCATGTGGTTTTTGTCATTGGTTCTGTTTATGTGATGGATTATGTTTATTGATTTACGTATGTTGAGCCAGCCTTGTATCCCAGGGATGAAGCCCACTTGATCGTGGTGGATAAGTTTTTGATGTGCTGCTGGATTCGGTTTGCCAGTATTTTATTGAGGATTTTTGCATCAATGTTCATCAGGGATATTGGTCTAAAATTCTCT
Source organism: Homo sapiens (assembly GCF_000001405.40). NCBI lineage: Eukaryota > Metazoa > Chordata > Mammalia > Primates > Hominidae > Homo > Homo sapiens. Next base: position 54,306,537 of record NC_000018.10, read on the forward strand.
TTTTTGTGTGTGTCTCTGCTAGCCTTTGGTATCAGGATGATGCTGGCCCCCTAAAATGAGTTAGGGAGGATTCTCTCTTTTTCTGTTATTTGGAATAGTTTCTGAAGGAATGGTACCAGCTCCTCTTTGTACCTCTGGTAGAATTCGGCTGTGAATTCATCTGTTCCTGGACTTTTTTTGGTTGGTAGGCTATTAATTGTTGCCTCAATTTCAGAGCCTGTTATTGGTCTATTCAGCAATTCAACTTCTTCCTGATTTAGTCTTGGGAGGATGTATGTGTCCAGGAATTTATCCATTTCTTCTAGATTTTCTAGTTTATTTGTGTAGAGGTGTTTATAGTATTCTCTGATGGTAGTTTGTATTTCTATGGGATCGGTAGTGATATCCCCTTTATCATTTTTTATTGCATCTATTTGATTCTTCTCTCTTTTCATCTTTATTAGTCTTGCTAGCAGTCTAGCTAGCAAGAAAAGATCAACAAAATTGATCTTCTCAAAAAACCAGCTCCTGGATTCATTGATTTTTTGAAGGGTTTTTTGTGTCTCTATCTCCTTCAGTTCTGCTCTCATCTTAGTTATTTCTTGCCTTCTGCTAGCTTTTGAATTTGTTTGCTCTTGCTTCTCTAGTTCTTTTAATTGTGATGTTAGGGTGTCAATTTTAGATCTTTCCTGCTTTCTCTTGTGGGCATTTAGTGATATAAATTTCCCTCTATAGACACACTGCTTTAAATATGTCCCAGAGATTCTGGTACATTGTGTCTTTGTTTCAAAGAACATCTTTATTTCTGACTTCATTTCGCTATGTACCTAGTAGTCATTCAGGAGCAGGTTGTTCAGTTTCCTGGTAGTTGTGCGGTTTTGAGTGAGTTTCTTAATCCTGAGTTCTAATTTGATTGCACTGTGGTCTGAGAGACAGTTTGTTGTGACTTCTGTTCTTTTACGTTTGCTGAGGAGTGCTTTACCTCCAACTATGTGGTCAGTTTTGGAATAAGTGCGATGTGGTGCTGAGAAGAATGTATATTCTGTTGATTTGGGGTGGAGAGTTCTGTAGATGTTTATTAGGTCTGCTTGGTGCAGAGTTGAGTTCAAGTCCTGGATATCCTTGTTAACCTTCTGTCTCGTTGATCTGTCTAATATTGACAGTGGGGTGTTAAAGTCTCCCATTATTATTGTGTGGGAGTCTAAGTCTCTTTGTAGATCACTAAGGACTTGCTTTATGAATCTGGGTGCTCCTGTATTGGGTGCATATATATTTAGGATAGTTAGCTCTTCTTGTTGAATTGATCCCTTTACCATTATATAATGGCCTTGTCTCTTTTGATTTTTGTTGGTTTAAAGTCTGTTTTATCAGAGACTAGGATTTCAACCCCTGTTTTTTTTTTTGCTTACCATTTACTTGGTAGATTTTCCTCCATCCCTTTATTTTGAGCTTATGTGTGTCTCTGCACGTGAGATGGGTCTCCTCAATACAGCACACCAATGGGTCTTGACTCTTTATCCAATTTGCCAGTCTATGTCTTTTAATTGGGGCATTTAGCCATTTCCATTTAAGGTTAATATTGTTATGTGTGAATTTGATCCTGTTATTATGATGTTAGCTGGTTATTTTGCCCGTTAGTTGATGCAGTTTCTTCCTAGCCTCGATGGTCTTTACAATTTGGCATGTTTTTGCAGTGGCTGGTACCGGTTGTTCCTTTCCATGTTTAGTGCTTCCTTCAGGAGCTCTTGTAAGGCAGGCCTGGTGGTGACAACATCTCTCAGCATTTGCTTGTCTGTAAAGGATTTTATTTCTCCTTCACTTATGAAGCTTACTTTGACTGGATATGAAATTGTGGGTTGGAAATTCTTTTCTTTAAGAATGTTGAATATTGGCTCCCACTCTCTTCTGGCTTGTACAATTTCTGCCGAGCGATCCGCTGTTAGTCTGATGGGCTTCCCTTTGTGGGTAACCCGAGCTTTCTCTCTGGCTGCCCTTAACATTTTTTCCTTCATTTAAACTTTGGTGAATCTGACAATTATGTGTCTTGGGGTTGCTCTTCTCGAGGAGTATCTTTGTGGGTTCTCTGTATTTCCTGAATTTGAATGTTGGTCTGCCTTGCTAGGTTGTAGAAGTTCTCCTGGATAATATCCTGAAGAGTGTTTTCCAGCTGGGTTTCATTCTCCTCGTCACTTTCAAGTACACCAATCAAATGTAGATTTGGTCTTTTCACATAGTCCCATATTTCTTGAGGGCTTTGTTTATTGCTTTTAACTCTTTTTTCTCTATACTTTTCTTTTCACTTCATTTCTTTCATTTGATCTTCAATCACTGATACCCTTTCTTCCAGTTGATCGAATCGGCTACTGAAGCTTGTGCATGCATCACGTAGTTCTTGTGCCATGGTTTTCAGCTCCTTCAGGTAATTTAAGGTCTTCTCTACACTGTTTATTCTAGTTAGCCATTCGTCTAATCTTTTTTCAAGGTTTTTAGCTTCCTTGCAATGGGTTTGAACATCCTCCTTTAGCTCCTAGAAATTTGTTATTACCAACTTTCTGAAGCCTACTTCTGTCAACTCGTCAAAGTCATTCTCCCTCCAGCTTTGTTCCATTGCTGGCAAGGAGCTGTGATACTTTGGAGGAGAAAGGGTGCTCTGGATTTTAAAATTTTCAGCTTTTCTGCTCTGGTTTCTCCCCATCTTTGTGGTTTAATCTACCTTTGGTCTTTGATAATCGTGACCTACAGATGGGGTTTTGGTGTGGATGTCTTTCTTGTTGATGTTGGTGCTATTCCTTTCTGTTTGTTAGTTTTCCTTCTAACAGTCAGATCCCTCAGCTGCACGTCTGTTGGAGTTTGCTGGGGGTCCACTCCAGACCCTGTTTTCCTGGGTATCACCAGCGGAGGCTGCAGAAAAGCAAATATTGCTGCCTGATCCTTCCTCTGGAAGCTTTGTCTCAGAGGGGCACCCGGCTGTATGAGGTGTCAGTTGGCCCCTACTGGGAGGTGTCTCCAAGTTAGGCTACGTGGGTGTCAGGGAAGAGGCAGTCAGTCCACTCTCAGAGCTCAAACACCGTGCTGGGAGATGTCCCATGTCTTCAGAGCTGTCAGACAGGGATGTTTAAGTCTGCAGAAGTTTCTGCTGCCTTTAGTTCAGCTATGCCCTGCCCTCAGAGATGGAGTCTACAGAGGCAGGCAGGCCTCATTGAGCTGCGGTGGGCTCCACCCAGTTTGAGCTTCCAGGTTACTTTGTTTACGCAGTCAAGCCTCAGCAATGGTGGATGCCCCTCCCCCAGCGAGGCATGCCAAGCCACCTCGCAGTTCCATCTCGGACTGCTGCACTAGCAGTGAGCAAGGCTCCATGGGCATGGGACCTGCTGAGCCTTGCCTGGGATATAATCTCCTGGTGCGCCGTTTGCTAAGACCATTGGAAAACTGCAATATTTGAGTGGGAGTGTCCCGTTTTTCCAGATACAGTCTGTCAGGGCTTCCCTTGGCTAGGAAAGGGAAATTCCCCGGCCCCTTGTGCTTCCCAGGTGAGGTGATGCCCCACCCTGTTTCGGCTTGGCATCCGTGGGCTGCACCCACTGTCCAACCAGTCCCAGTGAGATGAACCAGGTACCTCAGTTGGAAATGCGGAAATCACCCGTCTTCTGCATCAGTCACACTAGGAACTGCAAACCAGAGCTGTTCCTATTCAGCCATCTTGTAGCGGACCCCTGTTTTCTTTTATTTTTATGGTTGGATTATTTTTTTCTAGTTCGCTGTTTTACTGAGAAGATAGTCCTTCAAGGTTCCTGAGCTGTCACATTCTAGTTACTCACCTTCTGTGGGTCCAAAGTCTTATCTCCTATCTTCAAACTTAGATTTAATCATTTTTTGTTTTCTTATTTGCAGACTACCACCACTTGTAAATAAGTTATAAGGATAGTGTGGAATTCTCTCTTATCCTGTTACCTCACAGTATTACCTACTATTTTTTTTTTTTCTGGGAGAAAGGTATGCTCTGCATTTCAGCCTTGTTTTATAAAATTGATTCATGTTAACAATTTTAGTTCACAAAGAGTGTTACACTTTTGATACATAGTGGTCAGGTTCTCACAATTTGGTGATATTTGGGTGTCCGCCCTTTCTTTTCTAAGTTGTATTTATTATATATTAGATATACTAAAGTCCTCAAATATTGAAAAAATCTTTTAAAAATATGTTAAAAGCTTTTGAGAAAACTATAAGCTTTTTTTCAAATGTATTAGTCAGGAAAATGGAACTGGTGTACATATTTTAAGTAAGAAGGAATTTAGTGTAGTGAATTAAATGCTTACAAAATAATTGAGAAGCTGAAGGAGTGAGTTCTAGGTTTGGCCGCCAGAAATGAATCTGAGAACTATACAGAATCAACCACCAGATAAGCTCTTTTTATTAAAAAAAAGTAGAGATGGGATCTCGTTATGTTGCCCAGGCTGGTCTCGAATGCCTGGCCTCAAGTGATCCTCCTGCCTTTGCTTCCTGAAGTGCTAGGAAGGATTACAGGCATGAGCCACTGTGCCCAGTCTAGCTATTTCTTTTGGATCTGTTGTAGAACTATGAATTGAAGAAAGTGAAATCAGTATGCTGCCACCCTGCCACTTCTTCTTGAAATCTGGAAAGCTGGAGAAGTTACTGACAATTGTAACCCAGTGATAAGGAACCAGGAATTGAGAAGCTGCTGTTGCCTCTGTTGTTGATGCATCTACCTCTTGGCACACAAGAGTCTGGTAGTTGGACACTGGAACACAGAAAAGAAGACTCACATATCCTTGTTTTTGCTAGCCATCAGAAATGGCAATAAAATAATAATAATAATGAAGAAACATGGCTTCTGCTTCACTAAGAAAGTACTATTGAATTACTATTGAAATTACTATTGAATTTTAAAAAGTGGTCAGTATAGTATATTTGTGTCATAGTGGTCATTCCTTTTTGTTTCAAATTACCAACTTGTATTCTAATAAAGTTTAGCCAATAGTTGATTTATCTAAACCAAACCTATGTAGATACATGTATACTGAGACAGAACAATTTGTGATGTTGACAGAAGAATATTTCATCTATTTAGGCTTAGCCAGACTATAGTGTTCTACTTCAATTGTCATCAACTTTTTTGATATAACACCCTAGCAGTGAAAAAAACTTGGGAGGTACACACTCACAGAATCTGTATATTTACTAAAGATGCACCAAAGTTTAGGTTTAGCCTTAGTATGCACTTCCTTGGTGTTTGGGTGGCCGAATAATCAAATAACTACATCAGCATCAATTTGTGGCATCCCATGAAATTGTGCACAAAATTATCATGTTCCTCACATAGTTTACATCATATCTAATCAGGATTAATGATTCTAGCCATAAAAATAGGGCATCACATTTAGATTTATTATTAACATCTGAATATTCACTTTCTTTTTTTAACTTTTATTTTAGAATTGAGGGATACGTGTGCAGGTTTGTTACAGAGATATATTGCATGATGCTGATATTTGGAGTACAAATGAATCCATCACCCAGATAGTGAGCATAGTATCCAATAGATAGTTTTTCAACCCTTGATCCCCTCTCTCCTTCTCCCTTATATTCCCCCCCAGCGTCTGTTGTTTCCATCTTTACATCCATGCATACCCAATGTTTAGCTCCCACTTATAAGTGAGAAAACGCAGTATTTGATTTTCTGTTTCTGTGTTTTTTGCTTAGGATAATGGTTTCCAGTGGCATCCATGTTGCTGCAAAGGACATGACTTTGTTCTTTTTTATGGCTGTGTAGTATTCCATGGTGTATATATGCCATATTATCTTTATCGAGTATATCATTGATGGGCACCTGGGTTGATTCCTAGGTGTTCATATGTCTTTGCTCTTGTGAATAGCGCTGCAGTGAACATATGGGTGCATGTGTCTTTTTGCTGGAATCATTTATTTTCCTTTGGGTATATACCCAGGAGTGGGATTCCTGGGTTGAATGATTGTTCAGTTCTTTGAGGAATCTCCAAACTGCTTTCCACAGTGGCTGAACTAATTTACATTCTCACCAACAGTGTGTAAGTATTCCCTTTTCTCTGTAGCCTCACCAGCACCTGTTATTTTTGACTTTTTAACAAAAGCCATTCTGACTGGTGTGAGTTGGTATTTCATTGTGATTTTGGATTGCATTTCTCTGATAATTAGTGATAAGCATTTTTTTCATATGTTTATTAGCTGCTTGTATGTCTTCTTTTGAGAAGTGTCTGTTTATGTCCTTTGCCCACTTTTTAATGGGGTTATTTGTTGTTTGCTTGTTGATTTAAATTCCTTATAGATCCTGGATATTAGGCCTTTGTTGGATGCATAGTTTGGAGATATTTTCTCCCATTCTGTAGCTTGTCTGTTTACACCTTTGATAGTTTCTCTTGCTGTGCAGAAACTCTTTAGTTTAATTAGGTCCCACTTGTCAATTTTTGTTTTCATTGTAATTGCTTTTGAGGACTTAGCCATAAACTCTTTGCCAATGCCAATATCGAGATGGGTGTTTCCTAGATTTTCTTCTAAGAATTTTGTAGTTTGATGGCTTACATTTAAGTCTAATCCATCTTGAGTTAATTTTGTGTATGGTGATAGGTGGGGGTCCAGTTGCATTCTTCTGCATATGGATAGCCAGTTATCCCAGCACCATGTATTGAATAGGCAGTTCTTTCTCTATTGCTTACATTTATCAACTTTGACAAAGATCAGATGGTTGTAGGTATGTGGCTTTATTTCTGAGTTCTTTTACTCTGCTCCATTGGTGTATATGTCTGTTTTTTAACCAGTAACTTTCTATTTTCGTTTCTGTAACCTTATAATACATTATACTTCGAAGTCAAGTAATATGATGTCCCCAGCTTTGTTCTTTTTGCTTAGGATTGCTTTGGCTATTTGGGCTTTTTTTTGGTTTTGTATGAATTTTAGAATAGTTTTTCTAATTTTGTGAAAAATGACATTGGTAGTTTGATAGGAATATCATTGAATCTGTAAATTACTCTGGGCACTATTACCATTTTAATGATATTCATTCATCCAATCAATGAGCATGGAATGTGTTTCCATTTATTTGTGTCATCTCTGATTTCTTTGAACAGTGTTTTGTAATTCTCATTGTAGAGATTTTTCACCTCCCTGCTTATGTGTATTCCTAGGCATTTAGTTCTTTTTGTAGCTATTGTGAATGGGATTGTGTTCTTGATTTGGCTGTCAGTTTTGATGTTGTTGGTATGTAGGAATACTACTGATTTTTGTACACTGATTTTGTATCCTGAAACTTTGCTGAAGTTATCAGATATAGGAACTTTTTGGCAGAGATTATGGGGGTTTCTAGATATATAATCATATTGTCTGCAAACGGGGATAGTTTGACTTCCTCTCTGGCTGTTTGGATACCCTTTATTCCTTTCTCTTCCTTGATTGCTGTGGCCAGGATTTCCAGTACTGTTGATTAGGAGTGGTGAGAGAGGGCATCCTTGCCTTGTTCTGATTTTCAAAGGGAATGCGTCCAGCTTTTGCCCATTCAGTATAATGTTGGCTGTGTATTTGTCATAGATGGTTTTTATTATTTTGACATATGTTCCTTTGATGCCTAGTTTGTTGAGGGCTTTTATCATGAGGGGATGTTGAATTTTGTCAAAAGCCTCTTCTGGATCCATTGAGATGATCATGTGGCTTTTGTTTTTAATTCTTCCTGGGATGCAAAGTTGGTTCAACATAATAATTTATTCACATTTATTGATTTGTATATGTTGAACCAACCTTGCATCCCAGGAAGAAAGCCTATTTGATTGTGGTTAATTAACTTTTTGATGTTCTGCTGGATTCAGATTGTTAGTATTTTGTTTATGGTTTTTGCATCAATGTTCATCAGCAATATTGGCCTGAAGTTTTCTTTTTTTGTTGTGTCTTTGCCAGTTTTTGGTATCAGGACGATGTTTGTTTCATAAAATGAGTTAGTGGGGAGTCCCTCCTCCTCAGTTTTCTTTGGAATAGTTTCAGTAGGATTGGTGCCAGCTCTTCTTTATATGTCTTATAGAATTCAGCTGTGAATCCATGTGGTCCAGGGCTTTTTTAAAAAATTATTACTGACTCAATTTTGGACTCATTAGTGGTCAGTTCAGGGTTTCAGTTTCTTCCTGGTTCAATCTTGAGATGTTGCATGCTTCCAGGAATTTATTCATTTCCTCTAGATTTTCTAGTTTGTGTGCATAGAGGTGTTCGTAATGGTCACTGGGTATCTTCTGTATTTCTGTGGGATCAGTTGTAATGTCATCTTTGTTTATTTCTGATTGTGTTTATTTGGATCTTCTTTTTTTCTTTGTTAATCTGATTAGTGGTCTATCAATCTTGTTTATTCTTTCAAAGAACCAACTTTTGATTTCATTGATCTTTTTGTATGGATTTTTGGGTCTCAGTGTTATTCTGTTATGCTCTGATTTTGGTTATTTATTTTTTTATGCTAGCTTTGCAGTCAGTTTGCTCTTGTTTTTCTAGTTCCTCTTCATGTAATGTTAGATTATTAATTTGAGATCTTTCTAACATTGATGTAGGCATCTAGTGCTATAAACTTTACTCTTATGACATTGCTTCAGCTGCGTCCAAATATTTTGGTATGCTATGTCTCTATTTTATTAATTTCAAAGATTTTTGGATATCTGCCTTACTTTCATTGTTTACCTGAAAGCCATTCAGGAGCAAGTTGTTTAATTTCCATGTAATTATATGGTTTTGAGAGATTTTTTGGTATTAATTTCTATTTTTATTGCACTGTGGTCTGAGAGTGTGCTTGGTGATTTCAATTTTTTTTCAATTTCTTGAGACTTGCTTTATGTATGGCCAAGTATGTGGTTGATCTTAGAGTATGTTTTGTGTGTGGATGAGAAGAATGTATATTCTGTGGTTGCTGGGTGGAATATTCTATAGATGTCTATTAGGTCCAATTGGTCAAGTGTTTGCTTTAAGTCCAGAATTTCTTTGTTAATTTCTACCTTAATGTACTGTCTAACACTGTCAGTGGGGTGGTGAAGTCTCTATTACTATGTGGCTAAGTCTTTTTGTAGGTCTAGAAGTAGTTGTTTTATGAATCGGTGCTCCAATGTTGGGCGCATATATATTTAGGATTGTTAAGTCTTCTTGTTGAATTGAACCCTTTGTCATTATATAATGCCCTTCTTTGTTCTTTTTGACTGTTTTTGATTTAAAGTCTGTTTTATCTGATACAAAAATAATGACCCCTATTCTTTTTTGTTTTCCATTTGCATGATGGATCTTTCTCCACCTCTTTACTTTGAGCCTCTGTGTGTCATTAATGTGAGATGGGTTTCTTGAAGACAGCAGACAGTTGGGTCTTGATTTTTTATCCAACTTGACATTTTATGCATTTTTTTTTTTTGAGACAGGGTCTTCCTTTGTTGCCTAGACTGGAATGCAGTGCTGTGCTTATAGCTCACTGCAGGCTTGAACTCCTAGGCTCATGCAATCTTCCTGCCTCAGCCTCCTGAGTAGCTGGGACTACAGGCATGTACCACCATGCCTGGCTAATTTGCTATTTTTTGTAGAGACAGGATTGCACTGTGTTGCCCAGACTGGTTTCAAAGTCCTGGGCTCAAGTGATCTTCCTGCCTTGGCTTCCCAGAAAGTTGGGATTATAGGTGTGAGCCACTGCACCAGACATCTATGCCTTTTAAGTTGGACATTTAGACTGTTGACATTCAAAGTTAATATTGGTATGGGACATTTTGATCCTGTCATCATGAATATGTACTTTCAACTATGGGTAAACATTCTAGATGTTACCTAATAAAATCTCATAAGCTTTTCTTGTGATTTCATCAGAGTCTAAATTTGTGATTATTATTGCAAAGAAAAATGTTGATATAATTGAAGATTGTGAAGCTTATTTTATGTACAAAACAATTATTAACAGCTTACAAATTATTGAGAGAGTGGATTAGCTTGGTCATTTTATGATGTAACATATTCTTTTTGAGTCCACAGAATAAAATGTGTGGTTATTTGTTTTGTGGTGTTATTTCAGTAATAGATAATAGCTATAAAAGTTGGTACATAAAAGTGGAGGGCTATACAACAAAACCCCAAATATGTGGTATTTAGGCTTTTGGGCAGTAGAGGGCTCAGAAAACTGTTAGCAGAGGCTGGAGTAACAATGAGGAAACTGCTTTAAGAAGTTCTTATGAAATATTTGGTAAAAGGAAAAAAAAGCTGCTTATAGTACATTGGAAAACAAAATATTGTACCTTATGAACTTTTGGCTTAGAATGTCTTCAGGCAAAATGTAGAAAGCACCACCTTGTGCACTTAACTGCATTAGATTAAAGTACTGTAAGGAAGTTGATTGAGGGTTGCTATTTGCAAGCGGAAGTTAAAGGTAATATATAGGAGTCTGGAATTACTAAATTGGAGAGTAGAACTGTTTCATCTCCAGCTTTTGGTTATACTATCTGAGATGTCCTCCTTTTTCCATCATTATCTTTTCAAAATTCTTTCTAAGAAATGATCATTTTTGGAAACTTATTGATTATGAGTTTAGACATGTGATTTTGCTAATGGAATGTTGGACTTTAGAAAGTGCTTACAATATTTCCACTTCCTCCCTTGCTCCCTTGCCTTCTTATGAGAACATACAAAGGCTAGGCTGCTAGTGGATGAAATTCATGAGGCAGAGCTAAGTCGCCCCAGTTACGTCAGCCCACCTCATCCTTTCTCAGATAACCCACAGCCAATTGCCAGGCATGTGAGTGAGCTCAGACTTAAGAGATAAAGTTAGATTTGTATGTCACTGAGATTTTGTGATTGTCTGTTACACATAATTGTGGCAGTTGATATTCATACAAGTGTGTACAGTAATATGCACAATAAAGCAACTTCATTATTAGAAAAAAATGAAGTATATTAAGAAAGTGTTAGCAAAAAAGTGTTAGTGAAAAACAAACTAATTTTGTTCTGACGAATTGAGTCCCAAAATAATCTTTAAGTGGTGGATAAATTTTAAAGCAGAACGTATTAAAATTATTTATTGGGCTGGATGCAGTAGCTTATGTTTGTAATCCCAGTGCTTTGGGAGGCTGAAGCAGGAGAATTGCTTGAGGCTAGGAGTTGGGAGACCAGCCTAGGCAATACAGCAAGACCCTGTCTTTACAAAAATTAAAAAAAATTAACCCAGTGTGGTGGCATATGCCTGTAGTCCCAGCTACTTGGGAGGGTGAGGCAAGAGGATCCCTTAAGCCCAGGAGGTCAAAGCTGCAGTGAGCTATGATCATACCACTGCACTCAAGCCTGGGCGACAGGCTTTAATAAACAAAAAGGATTTATTATAAATTGCTGTCTTTGGTAGTTGAAGATTAAGAATTTTTTAGATTCGCCAAAGCTATTAATCCTAAATCAAAGTTGATTCTGAAAATCATATAACTTAAAACCTATTCTAAGATTTAATGTCCAAAAAAATTAGTAATATAATTATGCATACCACTTGAACCTGGGTGTTTTATAATATTGAATTCGTGCAATATAGTATATGCCTTGAAGCTAGCTCACAGTTCTGAGAGGTTTTTTTTGTACTCTAATGACAAATTTTAAAATGTTGACTATTTTTAAAAACAAAGTTGTAATAAATATTTTTGGATAAAATTTCAGATTTATCTTTATATCGTAGTTTATTCTAAGATAGTAGTAATAATAGGAGCTGGGTTTAGTTTGACCAAATACTGATTTAAATACTCAGCTCTTTGTCCAAAGTGTGCTTTTAATTCAATGTACATCTATTTTTACTTATTTTAAAAGTGTAAACATGAACCACTGTCATTGGATAACATCTCAATATATGAAAGATATTTCTGGTGAAGTTCGTTTTCATTGACATTAGATATAATTTCATATTTCAAATAGTCTTGATAATTTCTATTTTTTGCTAGCTTATGAGATCTAAACTATATTGTCGTTTACTTTTAATATTGCAAAGATCTCATATTAGTAAAATTTCAGCTGCGTTCATGTTTGTATTATTAGTATTTTCAATCCTTAATTTCTTTGTAGAAATCTTTTAAACCAATTCACAATTTTCTGATGATTTTTTTCATTAAAAGTATATCTGCTTAACTGTACCCCTATAAAACATAATTTGTCAAAATATACTGAAAGCCAACAACCAATTTCAAACCTTCCACACTGTGGAACTCATCCTTATTTCTCAGAATATCTTTTATGCTCATGAATGGCTAGGTGAGGCACCAGAGTCAAGCTGCATATTCTGTATTAGTAAAGCTTAATTTTCTAAAAAAATAAATATAAATATAAGTTGTGCTATTTTATTTCTGCACTCTGGTGGAGCTTCTTTGCTTTTTTACTATAGATACTGGAATACCTTTCCAGATGCCTTTGCAGCCAGGTGTGAACAGTGTTCCATTTCTGGCTAATGAGATGTAAGCATCTTTCTTGGGGTTCCCAAGAAAGCTATGAAATAGGGCTAAACTCAGCTAAAATATCTTTTGCCTTTCACTCTTTTTCTTCCTGCTTAGAACATTGGGACAATGCCACCAGAAAGACAAATGCTATAAGCTAAGTATGGCAGAGCTGAGTGCTGTAAAGAGCCTTGGTCCCTAATGACATTATTAGGCCATCATATCAGATCTCTACTGCAGACTCCCAGACTTCTTGTGTGAGATCAATAAACCTCTCAACATTTATGTCCTCTATAAATCATATTTTTGTTGTTTGCAGCCAACGTTTTCTTAACTGATATAATAATGTTGCACTCCCCTCTATGGAAACCACAGTTCTGATTCATTAGTATTATGTGTCCAAAACCATGGTAGAGAAGGGACATTGAAAAGGGACATGGGGCATGGGGCATAAATAGTCTTGATAATTTCTCGATAAGACTATGACTATTTATATTTAGTTAAATATAAACATTTTTGTTTTGGTAAGTCCAGTAATGTCTGAATATCTGAAAGTATTAGAGGAGTTATATGGTAAGAAAGATAAGATTTATAGAAAAATCTAAGTTCAGAATTGTTAAATTATTTTTATTTGTCATATTGTTTGGATACCAGTATTACTTACCTTTAAACCTTTCCGTTTTGTGGGATTGTTATTATTATATATGGTACCTTCTGCAATACCTAGCTATTTAGAAGTAATCGAAGTGACAAAATACCATAATATATGGAGATGATGACAGGGCAAGGAGAAGGAATCAAACATGCAGTACCTGGTATTATTTCCTTTTAATTTGTTTGCTATTATTATTTACATTTTACCTTAAATAGGAGACAAGTTAATTAAATATCCAATTTTCCTATTTGTAAGACAAAGAAAAAACTTATGTTTGGCTTTCTGATTTCAAGATTTTTATCTTTCTTGGGATATGTATTTTATTAAAATGTGTAATTTGGTGATTTGTATGTTTATGAAGTTTAGGGGTGGCTGAAAGTCTCACATTCTTCTAAGAGTAAAGTCTAAATTGGAAAATAGTAAAAATTGCATACTCACAAAATTAGGCATATTCTAAATCATAGTATAACTACATCTTTAATTATGTCTCCCGAACATTCAGTAGAAAAGGGAAAATAACACTCAGAATCCCAGTAGATTTAGGAAGAGAGTTAGGAACAGAAGACAGTCTCCCTTTAGTTTTGCTCCTCTTTTAAATAGTAGTGGTTTTTTATGTGCCTTCCAGCTTCTCCCCCACTGTGCCCTTCTTCTTCCCACAGGTCTCCAGTCCCCAGATTTCTGTGCATCCTCTCTCATGCAAAGAAGGCTGGAAGACAAACTTGTGAAGCTAGAGGGTGTTTTTACTAAACACTAAAGGAGTTTTACTAAAGGAGTTTCAAGTGAGTGCCATGAAAAGACCTAATTATTCTTAAGGAGAATGGTATTTCTGTATGTTCCTACACTTGAATTTTGACAATATTTTTCTATGAAGCATCAGAGCTGTTCAAGCCACAATTCCAAAAGGGTGTGTGCTTTTTTAGATTTGATACATAATATTTTTGAATAAAAGTAGGCTTTTTGCTGGGGCTAAATATTAATATTCTTTAACAATCATTCCAATCCATAGAGTGAGATTACAAAATCTTTACTAAGGAAATTGCTTGTAAAGTGTAATGTCAAACAAATATTAATAACGTAAACACATTAACTATATATTGGTAAATAATGAGTGATATGGTAGATAAATGAAAAACAAATGCTATCGATTATGATATAGTTTTTAATGACATTCTTTTTTGGCTTGGATAGGCTTTTCTATTTTTTTTTTTAAACTTATTTTGAGATAATTGTAGATTTGCATGCAGTTTTGAAAAATAATAATACATAATAATAATACCATATTCCCTTTATCCAGTTTCTCCCCATGGTAATATCTTGCATACCTACAGTACTGTATCACAACTAGGAAAATGACATTGATACTACCCGCTGCCATTATTTAGATACTACCAGTTTTACATGCACTCATTTATGCATGTGTGTTAATTCTATGCAGTTTTATTGTGTGTATAGATTCATGTGACCACGCCACAGTCAACACACAGAACAGGTTTATCACAAGGATCCCTCCTGCCACCCTTTCAAAGCGAAAGCCACTTTCTTTCTGCTCCTCCCCCACCTCCCTAACCCCAGAAACCACTAATTCTGTTCATCTTTATCATTTTGTCATTTCAAAAATGTTAAATAAATGGAAGAATCCACTATTTAACCTTATGAGATTGGCTTTTTCATTCAGTATTATTCCTCTGAGACAATTCCAGTTGTTGTGTGCATCAATAGTTTGTTCCTTTTCATTACTTGGTAGTATTCCGTGTATGGATTACCAGTTTAGCTATTCACCCATGTGGGTTGTTTCCAGTTTTTGGCTATTTGGAATAAAGCTACTATCAACATTTGTGTACATGTTTTTGTGTAAATGCTTTCATTTCTATGGGATGAAGAGTACAATTGCTGGGTTGTACAGTAAGTATTTGTTTGATTTGCAAAACACTGCCGCACTTTTCAAGAGAGGCAGTTACTGTTTCACATTTCCAGGTGCAATGTCTGAGTGATCCACTTTCTCCAAATCCTTGCCAACACCTGATGTTATCACTATTTAAAAAAAAATTTAGCTATTCTGGTAAGCTTGTACTGATATGTACCCTTACCTAATAGCCAATGATGCTGAACATCTTTTGATATATGGGTATCTTAGTGAAATGTCCATGTCTTTGTCCCTAATTAGATTGTTTCTTACACAGTTGAGTTTTGAAAGCTCTTTATGTATTTTAGTTACAAGTACTTTGTTGGAAATGTCTTGCAAATATTTTTTTTCCAGTCTGTCACTTATCTTTCCATCCTCCTCACAGGTTTTTCACATAGCATACATTTTTTTAACTTTGATAAGGTCAATTTATCATTTTTTCTTTTAAGAATCATGCTTTTGGTGTCAAGTGTAATAACTCTGCCTAGTTGTAGGTTCTGAAAACTTTATCCTGTGTTTTTCTTCTAAATATTTTATAGTTTTATATTTTGCATGTAACTCCATATTCCATTTTAAGTAAATTTTCATACTTAGTGTAAGGTTAGATCAAGGCCTATGAATGTTCAGCTGCTCCAACACCATTTGCTGAAATGCTGTTCCACTGAATTGTTTTTAAACCTTTGTCGCCCATCAAATGTGATTTAATATACTCATGAGAACACTTTATTTTTACCCATTACAGTGTTCTTTCCTTTCTGAAGACCTCTGGATCCTATTTAATCTTCATTTTTAGCAGGCAGTCCTGCTGTTCAGGTGTAGTATAAGGACTGGGTGGATGTGTTGGTTCAGCCTTCCATTGGGCCCTGCCATCACCACTCTGGCAAAAGTAGAGCACAGACTGCCTCTCATTGCAGATGGGTGAGGTGGCAGCTCAGCTCCCCTTCTGGCCCTGCTGACATCCTCCTGGCAAAGGTGGGGCACTGATTTGCACATCCTTTTTGCTTTCCAGTGGGACTGGAAGCTTACCTCCCCAGTGGAACCTGATGACACAGGGGAGGTGACAAGGAAGTGGAGTGCTGCGTAGGCCCGTGTCCTACCTCTTTGTTTCACCTTGTTGATACCCAGGTGGGAATGGAGGCTCAGATCCCTGCTGAACCCTGCTAACACCAGAGAGGGTATATTAGTTTCCTTTGGCAACTATAACAAAGTTCCACAAATTTAGTGGCTTAAAAAGACAAATTTGTTGTCTCATAACTCTGGAGGCCAGAAGTCTGAGAGCAGGGCCACACTGCCTCTGAAAGCTCTAGGGGAGAATCCTTTTTCACTTCTTCCAGCTTCTGGTGGCTCCAAGTGTTCCTGGGCTGTGGCTGTAAAACTCCAGTCTCTACCTCTGTCTTCACATGGCTTTCTCCTCTTCTACGTGTCTCTATCCTCTATGTATCTCTTATAAGGACATTTGTTTTTGGATTTAGGGCCACCAGGATAATCCAGGGTGATCTCATCTTGAGGTCTTTAATTATCTTTGCAAAGACTCTTTTTCCAAATTAGGTCAGATTCACAAGTTCCAGGGATGTGACATGGACATTTTTTTGGTGGGTCACTGTTCCCACTACACCCTGATGCAGGGTGGGGATGGAGGCTTAGCATCCTGCTGGGCCTTGATGACTCCAGGGGTAAGAGTAGGGGTGGGAGAGGGTAGTGAAGCTCCCTGGTCACTAGCCTTTCTTTGCACTACCTAGCTGCTATGGGTTGAATGTCCCTCTGCTTTTATGAATGGATTAATGTTATTATCACAGAAGTGGCTTTGTTATAAAAGTGAGCTCTCTCTTGCTGTTACCCTCGTGTCATGTGATACCCTCCACCATGTTATGATGTAGCAAGAAGGCCCTCACCAGGTGTCGGTACCACACTCTTGGACTTCTCAGTCTCCAGAATTGTGAACTAAATAAACTTCTTTTCTTTATAATTTATACAACCTGTGGTATTGTTATAGCCCCAGAAAATGGACTAAGACATTGGTTAAGTCTCATTGCTGCCAGCTGGAGGTGGAAGCTGTCTTTGTCTCTGGACTTCACTCATACTGCCTATGTTACCTCCTGCTTCTGCTGAGTGGAAGATAGAAATCAGCTCCCTGCTTGGTCAGTCTACATCACCTGGAAGGGCAATCAGTGCTGTCTGCATCTGCCAGGTAGAAGATGGGAGATTAGCTCCCTGCTCAGCTTTGTAGACACCATGGGATAGGGGTGTGTCAGGGCACCACCATCTGCTTCTGTGGGACAGGGGTGGGTAGGATAGAAAAGTGTCTCCTTGCTCTGCCACACTGAAACCATGGGGGTGGTTTGTAGGTTGATGCTTGGCTGGTGTAGGGTAGGCATTATAAAAAAGTGTTTTGTTCTGTTAGGCACCTGGTCCTATGACTAGGAGGAGAAGGCTTTTCATGCATGCAGTTGTGTGTGTGTGTGTGTGTGTGTGCATGTGTGTGTGTTTCTTTCCCACCTGGGATATGTGGGAGGCAATAAGGAAACCCAGAGAACTCACTGAATGTCATTCCTTAAGTCCCGACGTCCATAGATAGCTTGCTGCATTCTTTCCACCTATGCTTGAGTTTTCCTATGCTTGTTTATTGTGTTATGTGCAGGGTCTTTAAGTTTTAAGAGGAAAGACTTGGGAGGAATGGGCTATTGCATCTTGGCCACACCAGAAATTGTTTGATGACTCATTGCATTTAAAATTCTAAATGTCATTGGTCATACATTTTAGTGGAATTCTTTTCAATTTTTATGTTCATGTTTCCTACAATTGTCAGTTTAAGCAGTAAGTGAAAGAAAAACAATTTAAAATGTATTTTAACTTTTAGTTAATGCTGACCTCTGACTGTATCTGCTTTCTTATTGGTCCTTATACAGAGGATTTTACAGGGACAAAAGCAAAAGATAAAAATATACTAATAACACTTATTTAACATCATTCTTACGTGAGATTAAAAACGGTATTTAATGCCATATTCTTGTACAACTATGAGTTCTTATTTTTATGAACTATCTTCAGCCATGTGTACAAGAATACTGTCTAGAATAGTTTAACAGTATTATTTATGTGCGTTGACTTAGAAGTAAACAGCAATAACTACTACACATGATTTTATAGCAGAACGGCCTCATTTCTTCTTTTGGTATCATGAATGACTATTATGATGAAATCCACGTCTTGATGGAGTTCTGTGTGCCTTTATTCCATCTTTTGCATTGAGGATGAAGTTTACTAAGTTGGAAGGCATGGTTTTTTCAATTATTGATGGGGACAATTTTCCTCTCATTTCTGTCTGGACAAACATCACTAGTTTGGAATATGCTGGGTTTCTGTAAGCAAAAGAAGAGTTAAAAAAAGATAAGAAATTTTTAGATTTAACTACTGACTTTACAGGTTTTTGGAGAGCAGGATTCTTATCTTATTCACCGTTGACATACTTAAAAATTGTACTTAAAAATATTAAGTGGCTAGAATATTTCTTAAAATCTTGAGTTTTAGGCACCATTTCCTTTTTGTCATTTTATTGACTTTAAAAAATTCTAACAGTAATGTATGCTTATTATGAAAATTTAAACAATATAAATTTTTCATAATTAAAGAAAATTTTCCCTCCCTCATTTCCCTTATCCTGTTTCCCAGAGATAATCACTGTTTACAGTTTTAATTGTTATATTTTCGCGTGACTATCTTTCTCTCTCTCTATATATATACACAAAAACAGCATACATTTGTACATAAATGAATATGTTCCCCACATATATAAATATAGTTTTATTTTTTAATGGAGATATTTTTCTGCAACTAGTTTTATTTTTATCTTAATAGGACACTATGAACTTCCTTCTGTGTCTGTACATACAATCTACTTAACTGTTTTTCATGGCTACAGACAGTATTTCATTTTCTATTTAACAGTCCTTTTATTGACTATCATTTAGGTTGTTTCTCACTTTTGGCTACTGTAAGTAAAGCTGCAATAAAATATCTTTGTAATGTATCCATTTATGCTTTTTTTTTTTGAGACAGGGTCTTACTCTGTTGCCCAGGCTGGAGTGCAGTGACGTGATTCTAGTTCACTGCAGCCTCGAACTCCTGAATTTAAGCGATTCTCCAGCCTCAGTCTTCTGAGTGGCTGCGATTACAGGTGTGCCCAATCATGCCTGGCTAGATTTTAAAATTTTTTTAAAGAGACAGGGTCTCATTATGTTGCCAAGGCCAGTCTCAAGCTCCTTGCCTCAAGCGATCCTCCCACTTCGGCCTCCCAAAATGCTGGGATTACAGGTGTGACCCACCTCACCCAGCCCCATTTACACTTTTATAAATACTTATAATTTCTAGGTCAAAGGTTTGTGCATTAAGGTTTTTGACACATTAATTCCAAACTGCACTCTAAGTGGTATTTTATATTCTAGCCCATTGATCTTCACACTGGGGTCAGAAAGGGTGAATACTTTTAAGAGAATAAATTTTCCAATCTCTAACTTCCATATGCATTTTTTCCGTAATCAGATCTGTAAATATGTCTCTGTTGGAGATGTGGGCTTTTTCTTTCCTATCAGCCTGTTCAAAATCGCCCTTCTCTTGCTTTATGCAACAAAGGCATACCTGTTATCCACACTAAGTGGTACTATGGTGCTTTACCTTGGTATATAAAAATCTTTGAGATGCTAAAGGGAAAATCTGATTAGTGGCTAGTTGAGAAAAAATTCTTTTCCAAGTCATGCCATTTTTTTTTTTCAGTAAAACTTAAGGATCTAATTGAGTTGTCAGCTGACAGGTCTTTTTTTTTTTTTTTTTTCTTTTGAGACGGGGTCTCACTCTGTCACCCAGGCTGGAGTGCCGTGGAGTGATCTGGGATCACTGCAAGCCCCGCCTCCCGGGTTCAAACGATTCTCCTGCTTCAGCCTCCCGAGTAGCTGGGACTACAGGCCTGTGCCACCATGCCTGGCTAATTTTTGTATTTTTGGTAGAGATGGGGTTTCACCATGTTGGCCAGGCTGATCTCGAACTCCTGACCTCAGGTGATCCACCCGCCTCAGCCTCCCAAAGTGCTGGGATTACAGGTGTGAGCCACTGTGCTTGGCCAGGTCTTTTTTTAATGATAAACATTTTTTGATGATAGGTTACTACATAATTTATGGTATATAATTCATAAATTTTTTATATAAAAATAAAATAAAAAATATTTTTATATAATTCTCAAATTTTATTTTTATTTATTATTAAATCAAAAATTAATTGAATGACAGTGCTGGAATTATACTCTCTCCATTTCAACACATTTATGTTAATAAATTTTCTTTGATTTTCTTAAAATGAAAGCAGTAGTAGACTTGATATTGAATGCTGTCTTATTTTTCAGTAATATACACCCACAGTTAAATGAAATGAGTGTAATGGTTAAAAGCGTGGACTCAGGAACTAGTCTGCCTTGATTTGAAACTGAGCTTTGCTATTACCTATATGTAACCTTCAGATAGTTAATCTCTTTGGGCTTCCACTTTCTTTCCTGCCCATTGGGCATAGTCACACTACCTACTTTATGGGGTTACTTTGAAGATCAAATGAGTCAATATATACAAATTGTTTATAATAGTGCCTAGCACATAGTAAGTGCTATTTCAGTTTTGCTAATAATAAAATATGTGTTTCTAATAACAGTTTGCATTATGTTTAATATTTGTATACAAACATTTTTAATTTTGATCAATATATAATGATAACAACTTAATCCAGAAGGCATATATATATTTTTAATTGTTAGATAGTATGGTTATAGGAAATAAAACACATTTTAAAACTTTAAACACATGTCATTTTTACAGAGAATTAGGATGACTACGAAAAAATTCAAAGCATAAAATATATTCTATTAGAATAAAATTATATGAGGGAAAAATAAAAATGTGAGTTCAAGGAGGAAAGGAATGATGTAAAGTTTCTGACTGTTAAAAGTTGTATTTATTTTGAAATGAATAATTTAATGGTGGGTTTCAAGTTATGGTATTTATAATCTACTGGATACGTTTATAAGGATGGTATAACCGCTTTTTAAAAAATGTCAATGTTTAGCGCATGCTGGGAATTGTACTTTTCATCAACGTAATTTACTTTTCATCAATGTAATCCCTATGAAAAATTTTAATGTCAACTTAAAAATGTGCAAGAGAGAATATAGTTTTATAAAATTTTCAAGGGAGACTACCCTTCCAACAAATAGTGTGAGCGTCCATTTTCTTATACTTTTCTCTATGCAGGGTTTATACTATTTTTACAGTGCCTCAAATGGCTACACCGAGAACAGAGTAGTTCCCTCTTATACTCTGTTTCACTTTCTGCAGTTTCATTTATCCAAGGTCAACCTGTTCCAGAAATAAGAAAAATTCATAAGCTTTTAATTGTACATTGTTCTGAGTAATGTGATGAAATCTTACACCGTCCTGCTCTGTCCCACCCAGGATGTGAAATCATCCCTTTACCAGTGTATTCAGGCTGTATAGGCCACCCACCCGTTAGTCACTTAGTAGCCCTCTTGATTATGAGATTAAAAAAACCATGGTGTATACATAGGGTTTGGTACTATCCATGGGTTTAGGCATTTACTTGGGGTCATGGAACGTATCTCCATGGATAAATGGGGGAACTACTGTCCTTACTAGTAGTTTGTATGGTCTTAAATCTTTATTTGTGTTTACAATGGCTTTACACACATGAGAAAGCCTTTCTAATATTTACTGGAGTGCACTTCTACATTGACAAGGTGCAAGAAGGGGACTTGGCCTGTGAAGCACACTTTAAGCTGTGTAATTTTCCAACTCTAGTCCATGCCAGCAGTTGATTTACCTTGCTGAATTGGAGTAATTACCCTTCATTTGTTTTGTTTTCTCCTGCTATGGAGAATAAAGTCTTGGCCATAGATTCAAAATTGACAAATGGGTAGAAAGACCATACATTGTTATTATTATTATCTGCATCAACAATCGTATACATTAACATGAATAATTGTGAGGTTTTTTAGTTTTCCAGTTCAGTAGAGGAAATGTTAAGGAATACAGGTCCAAAATTTAATTTCATTTGGGCTTCCTTCACATACATTTTTTTTTTTGTACTGAGACATTTATATCTGACCAATACATCTGTTATCACGTGCCAATATCTTTTACTTAATAAAAAATCATTTAGCAAACATTAAAATTTAAGGAACTTGTGAAATGATATACATTGAATTTGAGTATATGCTTTTACAAAATAAGTATATTTTATGCTGCCATTTTATCCCAAGGCCACCTTTAGGCAGTGACTCATCTCTGATTTCTTCGGCTTTTCTTTTTATCTGAATGTACCTACTGGATCTCATTTTGCAGGTATCTGCTCTTAGTAGGTAGTCCATTGGGAAGAATTCATTCAAAGTAAAACATTCATTACTGATAAATGTTAAGTGTGCTATAATTCTAGGAAAGTTTATTTTTAATTCACAAAAGTTCCTTAATAATTTACAGAAATGACTCTAATGGAGAAATAGAAAACATCAAGGAAGCTTAACTGCTGGGAAATGTTTGTGTGTGTTTGACTGTTCTCAGAAACCTCAGATCATACTTTATAGGGAAGTATCCATTCTGATTATACTTAAAATGAAAACGATTATAAGAAGTTATTTTAAAAATCATATTTAGGGGAAGTTTTTTTCCCGCAACAGAATATGCTGCTACATATTTCTACTGATGAGCCAGCAATCTTAAACTAAATCACAAGTTGAACTAAAAAAACCTGTTAAAATAAATAAGTGCAAACAACACTTACTCTTCCATTGGTGAACATACAAAGCCACAAGGATGGTTATAACCGCGGATATAATTTGAAGATGGAGGATATTCTGGAAAATCCACACTTTTAGCTAAGAGATTTTAAAAAATTAAAATGAAACCTATTCACAAAGAGGAAAAACTATTTCCAGCAGCATATTTTTAGAAACATATAGCATTTAAGTTAGTTAATAGCATTAACATTAGTTTTATATATGTGAATGTGTATTTGCACATGTGAAGCCAAAATTGAGAAAATACCAGTATCAACACTATTGTCCTCTTGAACTTTTTCCTGCTAGTTATTTCTAAAGATGCTGTCAACTTCTGTATACAAGAAAAATGGTTAAAAGTATCATTGAACTATTTTCTGAGATTTGAAGCAAAAGATAGCTCAAATCTCAGAAAATAGTTAATGCTGATAACTAACTTAAATCTCACTGGGTTTGAGTGAAAACTGTTAACTGGCTTTGGGTGAATACTATTCTGCTAGGGTCCTGGGTTCATAGATTTTTGTGTTAATCATGTTTTTTTTTTTAAATAAAATATTCAAAGTAGTTAGATGGTCTGTCAGTAAAGGTACTTTAAAATGCTTCCTTCTGCAATTCCCTGTAGCTAACTTCAAACTCTAACTAAAAATCAATAGAGTTTATTTTAGAATTATGCAACCTAGTGTCTGTATTCTATGTGAATGCAGAGGGGGGTGGTTTATGATTTCATTTATGATAATATATATACTCTTCTAAAACTATTTTAAAAGATATATTTGTTTATTCTGTGCAACTGAATCCTGCTCTTGTCAGAGAAGATGGATTTTCTGATATGATTTTAACATAAAGCAAATCAATTCCATGGGAAATACAATGTAAAACACTAAGGAGACTAGAGTTGTTGAATGAATTTTCCATTTTTATGACTTATATCATTATCTTAACAGAGCCTATAATAGTACTGCCAGAGTGATCTTATTATAAAAGATTTTTTCCCTGTTTGAAATATGGAAATTATGCTTGTCTTCTTTAAAAAAATCTGTTGTAGTCTACAAACAGGTATGGGTCTTTTATGAAGCATATGGTGTGGTAGTTAGCACTTATTTTGGAAAATCAGAAAGATCTGAGTTTTAATTCTGGGTTACCTACTTATTAGCTATGTAACTTACTTTCTTAACTGCTTAATTTCCATGAACTTCAGTTTCCTCACTAGTGAGATAATGCAAGCAAAATATTTAGCTTAAAGCAAGGTGCAGGGCAGGATAAAAAAAAAGAAATGTTAAGAAAACTATGAGTACTGATTGAAAATTCATTCAATGGAAACTTTTAAAAGCAAATTGAGTAGTGATTTGTGCACCACGTGGTTGATTACCTCTAGTTGTTGATTTTAACCTCTACTTCTTTTTTTAGCTTCCCTCTGATCACTAATAATTATATAGAAATGGTCTGCTTTCAAAATGTGGAAAATAACAGATCTATGATCTGTTCAGACAAACTATTTTATGTTGTAGGCAGTGAATACATTATATGTGCCCTCATTTCAAAAATGAGACAACGAAACATATATGAACATTATGAACATCAGCCCTTAGTGGTATGCTGCAGAAAGAGCTAACTGGGTTTGAATGAGTGCTATGACTTAGTCTGAACTCTGAAATGTAGAGTACTAAAGATATCTCGGAGGAACTGAAATCTTGTTGGGAAATAATAATTAACGAAACGTAGTTGTCCCTGGTGCCAAGTAGAAATGGTGAAATTAATTCAAATTATAGAGAAAAACGGGCTCTATGCCACTGTGATACCCAAGTTCCTTCACCATGAGTTATCTTAAGTTATCTGAGTCCATAGATCTGTATGGTATGAAATGGTATGTTCTCATCAATAATGCAAGTTAGAAAATGATTACACATTTGCATTTTACAGAATGACATATTTGGGAGTGGGGATAGGGATACATCAAAACCGGCAGTTTCTAAAAGAAATAAAAGCACATTTATGTAAAGAGCCATCTAGTGGAAATTTCTTTAACAGTTTTATCAGTTACTGGATATGTGCATTATAAGCAATTCAAATATAAAATTATATCTGACAATTAATTTTGTTTCTTAGGATTTAAAAAATGTATACCCAAAGTTTTAGGCTACAAGTATCTATCTATACTCAGTGCTACAGGATATATGCTGCAAAAGTCTAAGAGATGTTGCAAATATTGACCATTATATAAATGGCACCTTCAGAGTGTCACTAGGCATATCTACATGATACGTCTAATTGTTGATCCCACTAAGTAAATTTAAAAAGGAAATAATTAAAATATAATTTCTTTGAAGCTGTGAATAAAGGGAAAACATTTATTAATGGCTCGCAGTAATTCCAAGATATGGGCAAAATGTTTCAACTTACAACTGATAATGTTCATATTTCCTTCGTAGCGCTTGATGTACACTAAGTCGATAAAGTCTCGAGGGGAAATGGAGCCCACGGCAAAACTTTGTGTAATGGTATGACATATGAATGTGTCCTGCAACAAATCAAACCGTAAAGATAACAAACGTTACTTAATATCTATTCTTTGTATTGTTTCCCCCCCAAATTTTATTGCATATGATTGGCCTCTATTTGGAAAAAGCAGGGCTTTGAAATTTTAAGATCTCGTCACCAAATCAGCTTGGATTTTGAGTGTTAAAGGAGCATTAAATCTACGAGTGTAGAAAATTCAAGAAGCAATCTTGATATCATCTACTCTTTCAATTTTTAGATGGAGAAATTGAAGCCTAACAGATTAAATCACATTCACATCTAGAGATAAGTACAGAAATAGAACCCAGGTTTCCTGATTCCCCATACAGTACTATTTCTACTACTCCACATAGGCTAAGTAATATATTCTGAAAAATACATTGATTTAGCACCCTGTGGTGTAAGGTCTAACATTAAAGACCAATGTTGTATGCTGGTAAAACCAGCATAGGGTGAAACCAGGAGGGTCTTGAATGGCCTAACTGCACATTCCTTTCCCTCTTCATTCCTGCAGATAAGATCCCCTAGCCAAACAACCCTCCTTCTCAACAGGACCAGCACAGTTACTATTTATCCCTGTTGAGCGGTTTCAGTTCCCTGGTGGCCCATGGAATCATTCAAACAAGTCAATCACATTCTTCTACAGGAACTGGGGCTCACCCTACCCTGTTGACACAAAGGCTACCTCCCACAGCCCCTAGGTGTTCACCCTGTTCCCATGTTGCCCTGTGTGGCATAGTTTGTTCTCCCTCCTTGGTCTGTGATTAATGATTAATAAACTTCAGTCTACCTCACTTGTCCATTGGTGGGTATTATGTGTTTGGCCATCCCCATAACCCTAGAGTGGGAATCTCTCCCTCACCAGTAGGTTGAAGAGGAGGCAGTTAAGACACATCCTTGACCAGGCATGGTGGCACATGCCTGTAATTCCAGCTACTTGGGAGGCTGAAGTAGGATGATCACTTGAGCCCAAGAGTTTGAGGCTAGAGTGAGCTTTGATCACAACACTGCACTCTAGCCTGGGCAAGAGAGTGAGACCCTATCTCTAAAAAGAATAATAATTATAAAAATAAATAAGTAAATAAAACATACTCCTGGAGATGAATACTACAAATCTTTACAAAAAGGGAAAATAATTCTAATTTAGAATTAGGAGACCAGGTACGAGTCCTGGTTCTATCACATATTGGCTGCATCATCCTTGAATAAGTCATATAATCTCTCTGAATTTGTTTTCAGGTTTTTGGATGTCACGTCTAGTATTCTTTCTATTATAACATATGACTTGCAACAACAATAGAAATTTCTGGGCTGGGTGCGGTGGCTCACGCCTGTAATCCCAGCACTTTGGGAGGCCGAGGCAGGCTGATCACAAGTTCAGGAGATCGAGACTATCCTGGCTAACACGGTGAAACTCTGTCTCTACTAAAAATACAAAAAATTAGCCGGGCGTGGTGGCGGGCACCTGTAGTCCCAGCTACTTGGGAGGCTGAGGCAGGAGAATGGCGTGAACCTGGGAGGCGGAGCTTGCAGTGAGCCGAGATTGTGCCACTGCACTCCAGCCTGGGGTGACAGAGCGAGACTCTGTCTCAAAAAAAGAAATATCTGAAGTGCTAATCAAACTGTATGATTAGTATCATACAAAGATGAATGAAATAGTTAAATTTTTGGATTTTCATTTGTGATGCCCAGTGGTTCTCAAACTGAATGTTCAAATCCCAAGAAGATCATGGACATGTGTTTTCTGTGGATAGGAACTTCCTCTCTACAAAATAAAACTGATTTACAAGATGAAGATCAAGGACTTTCTACAAGATGAAACAGATTTACCTTCATGGGCTTTTCTATAACTCTTCTCTCCTAGATTTTAAGATGAGTTTAATAAAAGTAGGTAAAATTACAGAGTTCTAAATAAATGATAATATGATGGCAGATATGTGGGATGTTTATTTATTTATTTACTTATTTTTGTTTGCTTTGATAAATGAAATGCAGGTTGGAGACTTAAAGAACTAAAGGCCTAGTGATCTGAAATTTTACAAATGCAATCATTTGTGAAAATCATAAAAATTAGTTTTATTCCATCATTCACATTCTCATCTCTTTTAAATAAAGTTATTATTAGCCAAAAATCTAGGACTCATTTTTAAAAACAGCTTATTGAGTATAATATACATACCATGAATTCACCTATTTTAAGTATGTAGTTCAATGAATTTCCCAAAGGAACTTTATTTGTGCAATTTCATCACAATCCAGTTTTAGAAGACTTATCTGATTCCTCTCTCCCTGCATCAGTAAGCCCTATTGACTCTATATATCTTTGGGTTCCCTGACTTACCTCCCTCTCCACGTCTACCACCCTTGCACAAGCCACCATAATGTCTCATTTAGATTACTCTCATAGCCTCATAACTTTTTGCTGATTTCGTAGCCTCATAACTGTTTTTGCTGATTTCTTTCTTACCTCCTTATAATCCATGCTCCTTTCAGCAGCTGTCTCTTAAAAGTGTAAATCAAATCAGTCACTTCCCTGCTTAAAACACACCAATGGCTTCCCACTGAACGTAGAGCAAAACTTCTCCCCCTGACCTTTGAGACTCTTGCAGAATCTGATCCCAGCCTAACCTCTCACCTCTTAACCACTCTTCTCCTTGCTTTTTATGGTCAAACCCCACAGACTTTGTTTATCTCTTGACTAAACACTGCCAAACTCTTTCTACCTCAAGGCCTTTGCATTTGCTTTACCCTGTGTCTGCTACTCTCTCCCAGATCTTTGCTTGTCTGTCTCCCTAACCTCCATTTTGTTACCCAGGTTTCTAATGTGTCTCACTCAGAGAGGCCTTTCCCAGTTCTCTAGCTATAAATTAGCTTCTCCTGGTTATTGCCTATACTATTATCCTACATAACACTTATTCTTACCAGTCCTAGCCTTCATTATCTGGTAAGTTTTAAAAAACTGTTTATTTGTTTATTATGTCTCTTCTGATGAGAACGTAAGTTTTGTGAAAGCAGGGACAATTTCTGTCTTCTTCCCTTATGTGTCCCTAGTGAACTGAAACAGTATGGAGTTCACAATAGTTGCTCAAAAAGTATTTGTGAAGTGTGAAGTATTTTGTGAAATATTTGTCAAGTGAATTAATTAGTCAAAAGAACATAAACATCAGTCTGGAAGAGTATGGAACAAAGTCAGGATTCCCCCCAAAACAGATTTCCTAAGATGGAGAAAACACAAACAACTGGAATGGAGAATGAATTTTAATACATTAATGGAAGAGAGGAGAATCATCCCCCCATCCCTCCAGGTGGTTATTTATTTATTTATTTATTTATTTATTTATTTATTTATTTTTGAGATGGAGTTTCACTCTTGTTGCCCAAGCTGGAGTGCGACGGCATGATCCTGGCTCACTGCAACCTCCGCCTCCTTGGTTCAAGTGATTCTCCTGCCTCAGCCTCCCGAGTAGCTGGGGTCACAGGCGCATGCAACCACGCCTGGCTAATTTTTTGTATTTTTAGTAGAATCGCGGTCACCATATTAGCTAGGCTGGTCTCAAACTCCTGACCTCAGGTGATCCACCCGCCTCTGCCTCCCAAAGTTCTGGGATTACAGGTGTGAGCCACCGCGCTCAGCCCCAGGTGGTTATTTTTATCATGGCCTTAATACATAAATGAGATATCTATAGTGTGCTGGACCAAAGTTTGGAATCACTTATCCCACTTCTTCATCCTTGTTTCTACTTGTGATATGGTTTGAATTTGTGTCCCTGCCCAAATATGATGTTGAATTGGAGGATCAGCCTGGTGATTCGATCATGGGGCAGACTTCCCAATTGCTGTTCTCATGATAGTGAGTGAGTTCTCATGAGATCTGATGGTTTAAAAGTGTGTGGTATCTCCCCCTTAGTTCCCTCTCTCCTGTTCTGCCATGGTAACAGAAGAGTTACCTGTTACCTCATGCCAAGGTGTTCCCCTTCACCTTCTGCCATGACTGTAAATTTCCTGAGGCCTCCGAGTCATGCTTCCTGTGAAGCCTATAGAACTGTGAGTCAATTAAACCTTTTTTCTTCATAAATTACCCAGTCTCAGGTAGTTCTTTAGAGCAGTGTGAAAACAGACTAATGCAACCTCTTTTCACCATGTATCATTATTCCTGTCATTTCATTCATTTTTTCTCCTCCTGAGCTTTCATTCTGCCCTTACCTCATACTGATCCTTTCTTCTGTTTCTCTGTAAACCATACTTGCCTCTCACATTCTCCCTTCTCTCAACTTTCTACTCCAATTACATTTTTGTTTTCTCTTTGTTTTTATTCTCTCTCTTTATATCTATTTAACTGAGATAATGTATTTGAAAGTGTTCCTAAACTTCAACCTTCTATATAATGTTATTTCCTTACTTTAACTTTACTGATGTGGTTTGGCTCTGTGTCCCCACCCAAATCCCACCTTGAATTGTAATCCCCACATGTCAAGGGCAGGACCAGGTGGAGATAATTGGATCATGGGGGTGGTTTCCCGCATGCTGTTCTCCTGCTGCCCAGTGAAGAAGGTGCCTGCTTCTCCTTTGCCTTCTACCATGATTATAAGTTTCCTGAGACCTCCCCACCAATGCGGAACTGTGTGTCAATTAAACCTCTTTCCTTTATAAATTACCCAGTCTTGGGTATTTCTTCATAGCCGGCGGACTCATACACCTACTCTTAAACATTATATGCCGTTCGTTCTTTAAGTCCTTATGGTATATGTCTGCATTGTTCCTGTTCTCATGATAGTGAGTGAGTTCTCACGAGGTCTGATGGTTTAAAAATGTGTGGCATCTCCCCCTTTGCTCCCTCTCTCTCCTGCTCTGCCATGGTAAAATGTGCTTACTTCCCCTTCGCCTTCTGCCATGATTGTAAGTTTCCTAATATCTGATGTAATATGACTAAAATAAGTCTACAGACTTCCCATCAATAAGGCATACTTAACCTTTGTTTTCCATGTAATGGAGGTGAATCCCTGAGTTCTGTTCCTTTATAACAAATGGCACACATTGCAGGAGAGCTTACCAGATTCAAAATGTAATATGCATTTACAAGTAGCATAAAGCTAATTGGAATTAAACTGTTGGAAAGTAGGGAAGTTTTAAAGCTTTTATAAAGACTTCAAGTCAATTTGAAACTATAAAATACTGTGTCTACATAACATAGTTTTAATCAACTCACTAAGGTATAAACTAAAAATATATTAATGTTCTAGAAGTCCAGTATTAAACAACAAATTACCGAATCAATCCTGTGTACCATATTATACACTTGCAATGATTTATCCCATGTAATTCTGTCTCCAGTTTGGTAGAGGAAATCAGATAGTTTAGCTGGTGATTCTGGAATTATCCCTTCAACACGATATCTACAGTTAACAAAATAAAGAAAATTCAAAGCTTAAAAAGTTTAGTCTAAGCTGAAAATATAATACTATCAAAGCATAAAGGTAGGCTAATTTAGCAAACAGCAATGAAGAAAACTTGAAGGTACTATCAGCAATTCAATATATTAATATTCAATTGGAAGTAGCAAGGTTTATTTAAATATGCACTGCAATAAATACATTATTTCAAAATTCATTTTTCTATAAGTAGGCTATTAGTAATTAAGTTTTTGGGGAGTCAAAACTTATAATGGGATTTTTGACTGTACGGTGGGTTGGCACCCCTAACTCCCACATTGTTCAAGGGTCAACTGTAATGTTTTATTGAAACATAGCCACACTCATTCATTTATGTGTTAGCTCTGGGTGCTCTTGTGCTATAATGACAGAATTGAGTAGTTGCAAGAGACCAAATGAGTTGCAAAGCCTAAAGTATTTACTGTCTGTCCCTCTACTGAAAAACTTTGCCAACCCCTGGCTTAGGGTATCCATTCAGTGGCTAATCTTGCATTTTCCAGTCACTTTGTAAAGGTAAGAAAAGTACAAATTACAGTTATATGGCTGTAAGGCAGAAATTATTTTTTGTTGGTGAACAATTAGAAGGCCAATAGCTGCATAAAACTAATAGCAACAAAGAAACAAAGACGACCAGCCAGAAGTTTAACAGAGAGAAGCAGGGAAACATACAGCTAAAGTGGCCCACTACGAGCACACTCATCTCTGGGGTCTGGAAGGCTGTGTTTATGCACCGGCTCTGCCTACTCAGTACCAGTCAGAGCAAGATGTAGTGCAGACTTGTAAGTATTTCCCAAGCCACATTCAGATTGATTAGCAAAGAGCTGATGCCTTACTGACTCAGGGACAAAAGTATAGTACAACCTGTAATGCATCACTGACTGGAAAATAATATATTCTATCCACTTTAAAATAAAATATACTCATAGCTGGGTCTGGAAGACTGTGTATGCTGAAGGCTGCACCCTCTGAGGAGTGACTGGTGACAAAACTTCCAAGCTACCAGTCCCTGGCTAAATCCAGAGCAAAACCACAAAACTCCCTGAATTACAAAAGCGGTCTTCAATCCACATACATATTTGACAGTAGAGGGTAAAAATTACCACAAAATGGCTTATGTTGACCAAGGAGTGATCCATAGGAGGCCAGGCTAAAAGATAACCGCAAGTAAAAAGTCAGAGCAGAGATATCAGAGGCTACAGACTCGGGGGAAATAGACTTCACAGAATTAGTCCAGCCAAATCACCAAACAGATGAACAAATGACCAAACAAATAACCACAAACCCAGGATGGGTGGATGGAGTCAGTATCCAGAGTTGCTACACTATTTTACCTAAAACGTTGTTTTAAAAAAAAAACTGCGAGTCATGCAAAGAAACATGAAAAGTATGATTTATACTTAGGAAAAACAGCAAGCAGGAGAAACTACATTTTAGGAGGCCTTATCATATAAAGATGTTGGAATTATCATGTAAAAAATTT
Organism: Homo sapiens; assembly: GCF_000001405.40. Classification (NCBI taxonomy): domain Eukaryota; kingdom Metazoa; phylum Chordata; class Mammalia; order Primates; family Hominidae; genus Homo; species Homo sapiens. The sequence goes on from NC_000018.10 coordinate 54,338,768, forward strand.
GGACGGGCGCAGTGGCTCACTCCTGTAATCACAGCACTTTGGGAGGCCGAGGCAGGCAGATCACGAGGTCAAGAGATCGAGACCAACTTGGCCAACATGGTGAAACCCCGTCTCTACTAAAAATACAAGAATTAGCTGGGCGTGGTGGCATGTGCCTGTCATCCCAGCTACTTGGGAGGCTGAGGCAGGAGAATCGCTTGAACCCAGGAGGCGGAGGTTGCAGTGAGCCGAGATCGTGCCACTGCACTCCAGCCTGGCGACAGAGTGAGACTCCATCAAAAAAAAAAAAAAAAAAAAAAAAAAAAAAAAAAAACTCAAAGCAATGATTGTAAATATGTTCAAAGAACTAACGAAAGCAGGAAAAAAAAAAGGTAGAAAAATAAACAGTGCCTCAGAGAAATGTGATATGCCATTAAACACATCAATATACACATTTTGAGAGTACCAGAAGGAAAGAACTGACACTGCACTCCAGCCTGGATAAGAGAGTGAGACCCGTCTCTCAAAACAAGAAAGGATAGAGAAAAAGAAAAATATGCAAAAAAATATAGAAATAAAATAATGAGTAAAATTTCTACAAATTTGTAGGAAAATACTACATTCAAGAAGTTCATTGAATTCTAAGTAGTATAGGTGGAAAAACATCCACTTCCAGATATATCATAGTCAAAATTCTGAACATGAAAATAAAAATAAAGTCTTGAAAGCAGTTAAAAAAAAAAAAGGCATTACATAGAAGAGAACCATAATAAGACTGACAGCTGGCATGCCATTAGAAACAATGGAGGCCAGAAGGAAGTAAATGACGTTTGAAGAGCTGAAGAAAAAAAGCTACCAAAAAAGAATTCTATATCCAGCTAAGTTATCTTTCAAAAATAAAGGTTAAACAAAGACATTCTGAGATAAATAAAAACAGAGAATTTATTGGTAGTAGTCCTGCCTTACAAAAAATGCTAAAGGGAAGTTCTTCAGGCAAAAGGAAGAGACACAAAATAGTAAGTCAAATCCTTACAAATAAAGAGTTACAGTAACAATAGTATGTAGCTAATGTTACAATACAGTATAATTACATATTTCTTCCCCTTTCTTCTATTAACTGATTAAAGTCAATTTCCTAAAACAATATAACATTTTATTGGGCTTATAAAATGTATACATATAATTGACAATAAACACAACAGAGGGGGATGGAAATAAAGCTATATGTGAATAAAAAAAATAACAGCAGATAGTAACTCAAATCCACAGAAACCAATGAAGAGAACCAGAAATGGTAAATAAGAAAGAATATATTTCTAAAGCTATATTTCTATATAGATGTATTCTTACGGATATATATGTGTATTTAGATGGGTAAGATAGAAATATCTTGAAGTATGTTTGTATTCTCCTATTAAGTTCTTTAAAAGATACTATATAAAGCAATAATTATAACAATATGGTATTTGATTTGTAACATATATAGACATAATATGTGCAACAAAAAACAGCACAAAATGTTGGGGAAGGGACTGGAACCATATAGAAGTAAAGCTTTTATATCTTACTGGAATTAAGTTTGTATACATCTGCAGTAGATTCTGATGAATTAAAATATATTGTAGCCCCTATAGTTATCACTAAGAAAATAACCAAAAAATGTAGTTCAAAAAATTATTAAAGGAATTAAAGATGATACACTTGACAAAACCTACTTAATACAAAAGAAGATAGTAAAAGAACAGAGGAACAAAATAGCCATGAGACATACAGAAAACAAAATAAATTTTTAAAATACAGGAAAAATGACAGACATAAATACAACCATATAACAATAACATTAGGTGTGACTGAATACGGCAGACATAAATACAACCATATAACAGTAACATTAGGTGTGACTGGATTAAACAAGCCAATCAGAAGGTAGAGATTGTCGACAGTATTTCTTTTAACCCCAAACAAGTTCCAACTATATGCTTGCTGTCTATAAAAGATACGCTTTAAATTCAAAGATACATATAGGTGAATGTAAAAGGCTTGAAAAAGATACACCCTGTAAATGGAACCATAGTGAGCTGAGGTGGCTTTACTGGTATCAAATAAAGTAGACTTTAAGATAAAAACTATTAGCAGAGATAAAGAGGGATATATTACAATGATAAAAGGGTTAACCTGTTAGGAAGATGTAATAACTATAAACGTATATTCATCTAATGATAGAGCCCCAAATACATAAAGGGAAAATGGACATATCTCGAGGGAGAAATAGATAATTTCACAATAATAATTAGATACCTCAATAGGTCATTTTCTTTTTTCTTTTTGAGACAGAGTCTTGCTCTGTTGCCCAGGCTGGAGGGCATGCAATGGCGCGATCTCGGCTCACTGCAACCTCCGCCTCCAGGGTTCACGCCATTCTCCTGCCTCAGCCTGCCAAGTAGCTGGGACTAGAGGCGCCCGCCACTGCGCCCGGCTAATTTTTTGTATTTTTAGTAGAGACGGGGTTTCACCGTGTTAGCCAGGATGGTCTCGATCTCCCGACCTCATGATCCGCCCACCTCAGCCTCCCAAAGTGCTGGGATTACAGGCGTGAGCCACCGTGCCCGGCCCACGTCATTTTCAATAATGAATGAAACAATCAGAAGAAAATCAGCAAGAATATTGAAGACTTGAACAACACTAGATCTAAGAGACACCTATGGAACACTCCTAAAAATAGCAGAATAGACATTCTTCTCAAGTGCATCTGGTACATTCTACAAGAGAGACCATCGTTCAGGCAATAAAACAAGTCTCAAATTCAAGGATTCAAATTTTACAAAGTATTTTTGTCATCACAATGGAATTAAATTTTAACAACAGAAATTTGGGAAATTCCCAAATATGTAGAAATTAAAACATTCTTAAATAACCAGTAAGTCAAAGAAGAAAAATTAAGTCAAAGAAAAATTAGAGAATAATTTGAGATAAATCAAAATGAAAACCCAACATGCCAAAACTTATGGGATGCTGCAAAAGCAGTGCTTAGAGGAAAATTTATAGTTGTAAATGTCTATATTTTTTAAAAAAAGAAGTTCTGAAATCAATAACCTAGCCTTTAATTTTAGGAAACTAGAAAATGAAGAGCAAACTAAACCCAAAGCTAGCAGAAGGCAGGAAATAATAAGGATTACAGTAGAAAGTAATGAAATTGTGAATAGAAAAATAAGAAAATTAATAAAACCACAAGTTGTATCTTTGAAAAGATCAACAGAATTGATAAATGTTTAGCTAGATGTACGCAAAAAAAGAGAATAGACTCAACTAAAATCAAGACTGACCCTATACAAATAAAAAGGGTTGTAAGAGAAGAATGATGTGTCAACAAAGTAGATAGCTTAGATGAAATGGACAACGTCCTAGAAAAGCACAAATTACTGAAACTGATTTAAGAAGCAATAGCACATCTTAATTATCTATAACAAGACAGAGATTGAATTAGTAATCCAAATAATCCCCACAAAAAGAGCCCATGCTCAGATGGCTTCACCGGTGAATCTGACCAAAAGTTTAAAGAAAAATTTTTACATAAATCCTCCACAAACTATTCCAGAAAATAAAAGAGGAGGAAACATTTCCCAAATTTTAGCTTGATATCAAAACCAGATAAAGATATCATAAGAAAATGCTCTCCGTCTCCCTCTCCCTCTCCCTCTCCCTCTCCCTCTCCCTCTCCCTCCCTCTCCGTCTCCGTCTCCGTCTCCCTCTCCCCACGGTCTCCCTCTCATGCGGAGCCGAAGCTGGACTGTACTGCTGCCATCTCGGCTCACTGCAACCTCCCTGCCTGATTCTCCTGCCTCAGCCTGCCGAGTGCCTGCGATTGCAGGCACGCGCCGCCACGCCTGACTGGTTTTGGTGGAGACGGGGTTTCGCTGTGTTGGCCGGACCGGTCTCCAGCCCCTAACCGCGAGTGATCCGCCAACCTCGGCCTCCCGAGGTGCCGGGATTGCAGACGGAGTCTCGTTCACTCAGTGCTCAATGGTGCCCAGGCTGGAGTGCAGTGGCGTGATCTCGGCTCACTACAACCTCCACCTCCCAGCCGCCTGCCTTGGCCTCCCAAAGTGCCGAGATTGCAGCCTCTGCCCGGCCGCCACCCCGTCTGGGAAGTGAGGAGTGTCTCTGCCTGGCCGCCCATCGTCTGGGATGTGAGGAGCCCCTCTGCCCGGCCGCCCAGTCTGGGAAGTGAGGAGCGTCTCCGCCCGGCCGCCATCCCATCTAGGAAGTGAGGAGCGCCTCTTCCCAGCCGCCATCACATCTAGGAAGTGAGGAGCGTCTCTGCCCGGCCGCCCATCGTCTGAGATGTGGGGAGCGCCTCTGCCCCACCGCCCCATCTGGGATGTGAGGAGCGCCTCTGCCCGGCCGAGACCCCGTCTGGGAGGTGAGGAGCGTCTCTGCCCGGCCGCCCCGTCTGAGAAGTGAGGAGACCCTCTGCCTGGCAACCACCCCGTCTGAGAAGTGAGGAGCCCCTCCGCCCGGCAGCTGCCCCGTCTGAGAAGTGAGGAGCCTCTCCGCCCAGCAGCCACCCCATCTGGGAAGTGAGGAGCATCTCCGCCCGGCAGCCACCCCGTCCGGGAGGGAGGTGGGGGGTCAGCCCCCCGCCCGGCCAGCCGTGCCATCCGGGAGGGAGGTGGGGGGGTCAGCCCCCTGCCCGGCCAGCCGCCCGGTCTGGGAGGTGAGGGGCGCCTCTGCCCGGCCGCCCCTACTGGGAAGTGAGGAGCCCCTCTGCCCGGCCAGCCGCCCCGTCCGGGAGGGAGGTGGGGGGGTCAGCCCTCCGCCCGGCCAGCCGCCCCGTCTGGGAGGTGAGGGGCGCCTCTGCCCGGCTGCCCCTACTGGGAAGTGAGGAGCCCCTCTGCCCGGCCAGCCGCCCCGTCCGGGAGGGAGGTGGGGGGGTCGGCCCCCCGCCCGGCCAGCCGCCCCGTCCGGGAGGGAGGTGGGGGTGTCGGCCCCCCGCCCGGCCAGCCGCCCCGTCCGGGAGGGAGGTGGGGGGGGTCAGCCCCCCTGCCCGGCCAGCCGCCCCGTCCGGGAGGTGAGGGGCGCCTCTGCCCGGCCGCCCCTACTGGGAAGTGAGGAGCCCCTCTGCCCGGCCAGCTGCCCCGTCCGCGAGGGAGGTGGGGGGGTCAGCCCCCCGCCCGGCCAGCCGCCCCGTCCGCGAGGGAGGTGGGGGGGGTCAGCCCCCCTGCCCGGCCAGCTGCCCCGTCCGGGAGGTGAGGGGCGCCTCTGCCCGGCCGCCCCTACTGGGAAGTGAGGAGCCCCTCTGCCCGGCCACCACCCCGTCTGGGAGGTGTGCCCAACAGCTCATTGAGAACGGGCCAGGATGACAATGGCGGCTTTGTGGAATAGAAAGGCGGGAAAGGTGGGGAAAAGATTGAGAAATCGGATGGTTGCCGTGTCTGTGTAGAAAGAAGTAGACATGGGAGACTTTTCATTTTGTTCTGCACTAAGAAAAATTCCTCTGCCTTGGGATCCTGTTGATCTGTGACCTTACCCCCAACCCTGTGCTCTCTGAAACATGTGCTGTGTCCACTCAGGGTTAAATGGATTAAGGGCGGTGCAAGATGTGCTTTGTTAAACAGATGCTTGAAGGCAGCATGCTCGTTAAGAGTCATCACCAATCCCTAATCTCAAGTAATCAGGGACACAAACACTGCGGAAGGCCGCAGGGTCCTCTGCCTAGGAAAACCAGAGACCTTTGTTCACTTGTTTATCTGCTGACCTTCCCTCCACTATTGTCCCATGACCCTGCCAAATCCCCCTCTGTGAGAAACACCCAAGAATTATCAATAAAAAAATAAATTAAAAAAAAAAAAAAAAAAGAAAATAAAACTACACCCCAGTATCTCTTATGTATATGCAAAAACCTTCAAGAAAGTACCAGCCTACCAAATCTAGCAATGTATAAAAAGGATTATAAAGCATGACCAAGTGGGATTTATCCCAGAATGCAAGGTTGGTTTACCATATGAATTATCAATTACTACAATACACAATTTTAATAGACTAAACAACAAAACCACATCATTTCAATAGATGTGGAAAAAGCATACGACAAAATCCAACACCCATTCAGGATAAAGCATTCATAGAATGAGGGGTATAGGGAAATGCCCTCAACTTGATAAAGGGCACCTATGAAAAATCCACTGCTAACATCAAACTTAATGGTGGAAAAACTAAATACTTTTCTATTAAGATCAGGAATAAGACAAGGATGTCCACTCTTGTCACTGCTATTAAACATTGTATTGGAGGTACTAGCCCAGGCAGTTAGGTTAGAAAAAGAAATAAAAGTCATCCAGATTGAAAAGGAAGAAGTAAAACTCTTCATGACATGATTTTATATATAGAAAAAAACAACAGAATCCACTAAAATAATACAACTAAGAAGTCCAGTAAAGCTTCAGGATACAAGATCAATATATAAAAATCAATTGTATTTCTATATGCTAGGATTAAAATTTTTTAAAAGTAATTCAGAAAACAATTCCATTTACAATAACATCAAAAAGAATAAAGCTTTGAAATAAATTTAACAAAAGTCATTGAATGGTGTTAGAGTAAAATAAAAAAAAATAGAACACGTTTAAGACATATACTGAAACTTATAAAACATTCTGAAAGAAGTTTGAGAAGCTCAAAATAAACAGAGAGACATCCTATGTTCATGTACTGGAAGACTTAATATTTTTAAAATGGCAATAATTCTCCAAATTGAACTACAGAATCAAAGCATCTTTGTCAAAATCCCAGCTGACTTTTTTTTGAGATGGGGTCTTGCTCTGTTGCTGAGGCTGGAGTGTCTAAAATTCATATGGAAATGCAAGGGAACCAGTATAGCCAAGATAGTCTTGAAAAACAGAAAAGTTGTAAGACTCACACTTCTTAATTTCAAAACTTACTAAAAGGCTATAGTAGTGAAGGTTGTGTGGTATTGGCATAAGGACAGACAGAGAGATCAACTGAATATAATTAAGCATCCAAAGGAAACTCCTAATGTATATGGTCAATTGATTTTTGACAAAGGAGCCCAGACAATGTAATGGGGAAAGAAGAATCTCCAACAAATAGTGCTGGGACAATTGGATATTTACATGCAAAGATTGAATTGGACTCCTGCCTCACACCATACAGAAAATTAACTCAAAGTGATCACAACAGACCTACATGTAAGAAATAAAACCATAAATTCTTAGGGATAAATCTTTGTGACCTTGGGTCAGCCAATTATTTCTTGGATTCAGCACCAGCAACACAAGTAACACAACAGAAGACGGATAAATTGAACTTCAAGAAAATTTTTAAAAATTGTGCTTCAAAGGATACCATCAAGAGAGTGAGAAGACAACCTACAGAATGGGAGAAAATAGTCGCAAATCATATATGTGATACTAAACTAGTATCCACAGTGTATAAATAACTCTTCCAACTCAACGATAAAAAGAAATTCAATTTTTTAAAAAAGAGTTTGGATAAATATTTATCTAAAGAAGATATATGAATGGTCAATATGCACGTAAGAAGAAGCTTATGGTCACAAGTCATTAAGGACATGTAAATCAAATCCACAATGAGATACCACTACATACCCAACTAGGATAGCTATAATCAAGAAGACAGATATGAAAAATGTTGCTGAAGAGGTGGAGAAATTGGAACCTACATACACTGCTGTTAGGAATATAAAACGGTGCGGCCAGTCTCTAAAATGATCTAGTAGTTCTTCAAAATATTAAACATAGAATTGCCATATGATCCAGCAATTCCAGTCCTAGATCTATAGCCAAGAGAAATAAAAATATATGTCCACACAAAAATTTGTACACAAATTTCATAACAGCATTATTTATAATACCTAAAAGATAGAAACTAAGTATATATTAACTGACGAATAGATAAAATGTGGCATATCCGTACCATAGAACATTATTCTTCAATAAAAAGAAATGAGGTACTGACACAAGCTACAACATGGGTAAACCTCAAAAACATGATAAAAGAATTTGTGAAAGAAGCAAGTCACAAAAGACCACATAGCATGTGATCTCCTTTATGACATGTCCAGAATAGGCAAATATAAAAGGCAGAAACTGTCACCTAGTCGCCTGGGGCTGGGGTGAATCGGATAATGGGAAGTAAATGCTAGTAGGCACAAGTTTCTTTTTTGGGGAGGAGAATGTTCTAAATGAAATTATGGTGATCCTGGTACAACTCTGTATATATACTAACAATCACTGAGTTGTACACTTAAAGTAGGTGAAATTTAGGGTACATAAATTATCTCAATAAAATTGTTAAAAATGAATTAGTTCCACAAGTCCTTTTTTTCTGAATTAGAGAATGACATTAAATTTATTTCTCATCTAATCTATTGCATAAAAACAATTACAACAAAAATTCTTAATGTCTCTTGAGTAGGTAGAGAACCTATATTTTATCTAAGTAACTTGCTCTAAACTGCAAACCAAAATAAGATGATTCAATAACGTATTTTATAAACTAGTCTTTAGCAATTATTTTGTTATCATATCTTTTATTCTCAACTTGTATTTACTCATTATAAATATATTTCCTAATTTCCTGCTCTGCCCACACCCAGCATTAACTATAAACCAGCTGATGTTAATGGTTGTGGAGTTATTGATGGATACTGATGTTACCAATTTTTTATTTGTGAAAGAGAATTGTGTGAAATGACCTAATATAAACCCCAAATTCTATTTTAAAAATAGTACTACAATATTCATCACTGAATAACATAACTTTTCATTCCTTAAGTTTTTCATAAAATGGAATGGCAGCAGAGTTTGAACAACGCTTTCCAAATTATTATATTAATAATATCTGAATTATTTTTGTAGTTAAGAAAAATGTTAAGTTTAGGAAGATATTGAACCAGGTTTATGAAGATACTAAACTGGGGTGTTTTTCATTGTTCCTCCAAATATATCTACACATTATGTAGAACCAGGATGAATCCTGAGCTGTTAGAACTCTTTATTTTGGTCACAGCAACTTTATTAATTACATTTGTTACTTTAAAAAATGTTTAACCTGTGATATGGGTTGGTTCTGTATCCCCACCCAAATCTCATCTTGAATTGTAGCTCTCATAATTCCCAGGTGTTGTAGGAGAGACCTGGTGGAAGATAATTGAATCATGGAGGCGGTTTCCCCCATATTGTTCTCGTGGTAGTGAATAAGTCTCATGAGATCTGATGTTTTTTATAAGGGGTTTCCCTTTTCACTTGTCTCTCAATTCTCTCTTGTCTGCTGCCATGTAAGAATGACTTTCATCTTCTGCTATGATTGTGAGACCTCCCCAGCTACATGGAACTGAGTCCATTAAACCTCTTTCTTTTGTAAACTGCCCAGTCTCAGGTATGTCTTTATCAGCAGCGTGAAAATGAACTAATACAACCTGTTTAAACCTGAATGCTTTAATTTATAAAACTTACAAACTGTCTCACATGTCTGCCTCAGAAGGTAGAATAGAGGATTAAATGTAGTGGTGGTAATGATGGTGGTAATAAGTAGTAACGACAATGGAGGAGAAAGTAGTATCCTAAACAAGCATGAAATGCCTAAAGGCAGAAAAGGTACATTCTGCCAGAATCCATCTCTGGATAATCTGCCTTCATTATTCCACAGATACATCTTGACAGTTTTGATGAGGTCAGAGAGAATAATGATTAAGAAAGTACAGCCTTTGAGGTAAAGTCTTGGTGTCTAAGTTTTTGTCTCACTAACACTAGTTAGGTGACTTGGAGATAGTAACTTACATAGGCCCTTATTCATTTGTAAAATGGGGATAATAACAGTGCTTACATTGTGGGAAATATGAGAAATATATTTAGAAAATGAAAGAAAAGTATTTAGCATGGTGCCTGACATATAGTAGGACATTACTGTTCACTGCTTCTAACACTGAGAGAAATGTGTAGACCTATGTGCTGGTAGGTCTGTATTTCATCCCTTAAGAGCAGAAAGGAACGAAATTCCAACCAAAGAACTGCTTCTCTTCCAGGCAAATGCTTAAAGCTAACCACAAAAGGCCCTTTTTGAGTAGCAAATTATTAAGAAAAGGCATAAGTGTTGAAAAATTATCTTGAGTTTATTTTTTTGTACTGCAGTTATAAGATATATAACTTCCCATTTGGTAGCCAATATAATATAACTGAAGTCCATAAATTCATTCAATATTTATTAAGTGTCTTGGTGAGAGACACTGTTCTTGTGCTAGGGATACTGCAATGAATGCAGTGATTTATTTCTAGTCTGGTGCCTATTAAAGTTAGTATCCTCATCAAGTTTATATTCTAATATGAGAGACATATAATACGTAAGAAAACAAAGAAGATAAATTTCATATAGTGAAGTGCTATGAAGAAGATAATAGCAGAACAATGTAGTAAATAGAGGTTTAGTGTGTGTATTTGGGAACTTTGGCCACGTGGCTAGGAAGGTCATTCTGAAGAGGAGATAATGAAACTGACATCTTGAACATAAAAATGACATTAGCCTTGGAAACATTTGGGGGAATAGCTTGCCAGGCAAGAGGAGAGCAACTAAGAAGGCTCTGAGATGGGTTTAAGTTCAGTGCATTCAAACAACAGAAGTCCATTGTGGCTGTGACACAGGGACAATGAAGAGAAGTGGTCAGAAATGAGGTCAGAGAGGTAAGTGGGGCCCAGATAGTTACCTGCACATCACGATAAAATGTTTGGACTTATTTCAATAGGTTTTGGGGAAACAGGTGGTTTTTGGCTACATGGATAAATTCTGTGGTGGTAATTTCTTGAGATTTTGGTGCACCCATCACCTGAGCAGTGTACACTGTACCCAATGTGTAGTCTTTTATCCATCCTCCTCCTCCCACCCTTTCCCTGGAGTCCACAAAGTCCATTATATCATTCTTATGCCTTTGTGTTCTCATAGCTTAGCTTTCATTTATAGGTGAGAAAAGATGATGTTTGGTTTTCCATTCCTGAGTTACTTCACTTAGAATAATGGTCTCCAACTCCATTCAGGTTGCTGTGAATGCTATTATTTTGTTGCTTTTTATAACTGAGTAGTGTTCCATAGTTTATATATACCACATTTTCTTTATCCACTCATTGGTTCCATATAATTGCAATTGCAAATTGTGCTCCTATAAGCATGTGTGTGCATGTGTCTTTTTCATATAATGACTTCTTTTCCTCTGGATACATACCCAGTAGTGGGGTTGCTGGATCAAATTGCAGTTCTACTCTTAGTTCTTTAAGGAATCTCCATGCTGTTTTCCATAGTGGTTGTACTGATTTACCTTCCCACCAACAGTGTAAAAGTGTTCCCTTTTCACCACATCCATGCCAAAATGTATTATTTTTTGATTTTTAAATTATGGCCATTCTTGCAGGGGTAAGATGGTATCTCACTCTGGTTTTAATTTTCACTCCCTTGATAATTAGTGATGTTGAGCATTTTTTCATGTTTGTTGGCCATTTGTATATCTTCTTTTGAGAATTGTCTACGCATGTCCTTTGCCTACTTTTTGATGGGATTATTTGTTTTTTTCTTACTGATTTGCTTGAGTTCTTATAGATTCTGGGTATTAGTCCTTTGCTGCATGCATAGTTTGTGAATATTTTCTCCCATTCTGTGGGTTACCTGTTTCCTCTGCCGATTATTTCTTTTACGATGCAGAAGGCTTTTAGTTTAATTAGGTCCCAACTATTTATTTTTGGTTTTGTTGCATTTGCTTTTGAGTTCTTCGTCATGAACTCTTTGCCTAAGCCAATGTCTAGAAGAGTTTTCCCAATGTTATTTTCTAGAGTTTTTATGGTTTCAGGTCTTAGATTTAAGTCTTTGATCCATCTTGAGTACATTTTTGTAAAAGGTAAGAGATGAAGATCCAGTTTCATTCTTCTACATGTAGCTTGCCAATTATCCCAGCACCATTTGTTGAATAGGGTGTCCTTTCCCCACTTTATGTTTTTGTTTACTTTGTTGTGGATCAGTTGGCTGTGGGTATTTGGCTTTATTTCTGGGTTCTCTATTCTGTTCCATTGATCTACGTGCCTGTTTTTATACTAGTCCCATGGTGTTTGGTAACTAGAGCCTTGTAGAATAGTTTGAAGTTGGGTAATGTGGTGCCTCCAGATTTATTCTTTTTGCTTAGTTTTGCTTTGGCTATGTGGACTGTTTTTTGGTTCCATACGAATTTTAGGATTGTTTTTTCTAGTTCTGTGAAGAAGGATGATGGGAGTTTGATGGGAATTGCATTGAATCTGTAGATTGTTTTGGCAGTAGGGTCATTTTCACAATACTGATTCTACTCATCCATGAGCATGGGATGTGTTTCCATTTGTTTGTGTCAGTGATTTCTTTCAGCAGTGTTTTGCAGTTTCCCTTGTAGAGATCTCTCACCATCTTGCTTAGATATATTCTTAAGTATTTCTTTTTTTGCAGTGGTTGAAAAAGGGGTTGAATTCTTTATTTCATTCTCAGCTTGGTCACTGTTGCTGCATAGCAGTGCTACTGATTTGTGTACACTGACTTTATCCTGAAACTTTATTCACTTATCAGATCTAGGAACTTTTTGGATGAGTCATTAGGGTTTTATAGGTATACAATCATATCACTGATCAACAGTGACAGTCTGTCTTCCTCTTTACCCATCTGCATGATTGCTCTGGCTAGGACTTCCAGTACTATGTTGAATAGAAGTGGTGAAAATGGGCATCCTTTTCCCGTTCCAGTTTTTAGGAGGAATGCTTTCAACTTTTCCCTGTTCAGCATAATGTTGGCTGTGGGTTTGTTATAGATGGCTTTTACTTCTTTGAGGTAAGTTCCTTCTATGCCTATTTTGTTGAGGGTTTTAGTCAAAAAGAGATGCTGGATTTTGTCCAGTGCTTTTTCTGCATCTATTGAGATGATCAAAATTTTTGTTTTTAATTTTGGTTATGTGATCTATCACATTTATTGACTTGGGTATGTTAAACCATCCCCACATCCTGGGTATGAAATGCATTTGATCATGGTATATATTATCTTTTTGATATACTGTTGGATTAGGTTAGCTAGTATTTTGTTGAGGATTTTTGCATTTGTGTTAATCAGGGATATTGGTCCGTTTTTTTTTTTTTTTTTTTTTTAATGTCCTTTACTGGTTTTGTTATTAGGGTGATACTGGCCTCATAGAATGGAGGATTCCTTCTTTCTCTATCTTTTGGAATAGTTTCAGTAAGATCATACCAATTTTCTTTGAATGTCTGATAAAATTCAGCTGTGAATCCATCTCGTTCTGGACTTTTTTGTTGGCAATTTAAAAAATTATTGTTTCAATCTTGCTACTTGTTTTTGTTTTTTTTTTTCAGATTTTCTATTTCTTCCTGATTTAATCTAGGAGGGTTGTATTTTTTCCCAGAATTTATCGATCTCCTCTAGATTTTCTAGCTTGTGCATGTAAACGTGTTCACAGTAGCCCTGAATGATCTTTTTGTATTTCTGTGGTATTGGCTGTAATATCTCCCATTTCATTGCTAATTGAGTTTATTTGGATCTTCTCTCCTTTTCTTGGTTAATCTTACTAATGGTCTGCCATTTTTTTCTTTTCAAAGAACTAGCCTGTGGTCCCAGCTACTTGAGAATCTTGCCAACAACAATGTGAGTGAGTTTGGAGCATAGCCTCCTTCAGTTGAGTCTTCAGATGAGACCTAAGCCCTGTTGACACCTTGATTACAGCCTTGTGGATTCCTTGAGGCAGAGGCACCTAGCAAAGCTGTTCCTGGATTCCTAATCCAGAGAAGCCATAAGATAATAAATGTTTAAGTAGCTAAGTTATGGGATAATTTGTTGTGCACCAATAAATACCTAGTATACAGTGCATATAAATTTCACTCAAACTGTGAGTGCAAAAAGTACCAATTGTTTAGTTTTGCATGTAAGAGTAAAATATCTCTGATGAAAATTTCCAGTAAAGCTTTAGAACAGCTTAACAGAACCTATTCTTTGGCTCTAGGCATTTGTATAGCACTCTCTAAATAAATACTCAATAATTACTTGTAGACTAAATAAATAACTTCCAAGCTTTTAAAAAATGCCAAGGTTGCTGTCTACACTGGTCTGATCTGTAAGATACCAAAAAGCCAAATTATCCAAAAGTTAATTCCCCTAGTGTACCTAGGCTTGACCATACCCACTCCTCCCTGTTTATTTTTGAAAGTGCCTGTATTAGAACCATTATTTCAATAAGGTAGGGATTATTTTCCTGATCATTGTTAAAGTGAGTGGGAGAAAGCATATCAGCTTTGTCCAATGGTAAAAAATTGGGCTGAAATATAATATAGGTAAATTTTATTGAAATTTTAAAAAAGCAAGAAACATAAAATGAGGTAGTTGAAAGAAGGAGTGGACTCCAAAAGAAAAGGAATTGAATAAAATTTGATGATCTGATGGCCCTGATGTACTATCATGAGCAATAAATGAACTCTGAAAGATTAAGCTAAAAAAAGTCAATATACTTTCCCTTAGTGTACTTGTATTTGAAATAATTTTATCCTTAAAAGTATATTTAAAAGAAGCATACAGAAAAAAATGCATATTTAAAATGAGGAAGTAGGCTGGGCACAGTGGCTCACACCTGTAATCCCAGCACTTTGGGAAGCCAAGACAGGCAGATCGCTTGGGCTCAGGAGTTTGAGACTGGCCTGGGCAACCCCATCTCTACAAAAACATATAAAAATTAGTCAGGTGTGGTGGTGTGCACCTGTAGTCCCAGTTATTCAGGAGGCCGAGGCGGAAGGACTGCTTGAGCCCAGAAGGCACAGGTTGCAGTGAGCTGAGATTGTGCCACTGCACTCCAGCCTGGTGACAGAGCAAGACCCTGTCTCAAGAAAATAAAATAAAATGAAGAAATACACTTTACTTGTTAGTGGTTCATTTAATGGACACATGAAGGGTTTAAAATTCCATAAAATATTACTGTTAGCAAGAAAATACCAATCTGCTTTTATAGTAATTATTTCTTGAAGTGAAAATTTCCTATTTAGTGAATTAGTAATTAGAAGAGATTTTTTATCTGATTGTCATCAGATTTGAAAATAGAAGATTAGATGGTATCTGATTGCTGTATTTTATTATTATCACATTTCTGCCTAGTGACTTAATAATTTCTATTTATTACTATAAAATAATTTATTATAGCTAATGAAGCAGCACTGAAATTCCAGATACATCAATGGCATTGAATTTAAAACAGTAATTGTAAATAGAAGATTGTACTCACAGATTTCCATGGAATTTTCTAGAAGCCTTACTGGAAACAGTTATCTTTTTCTCAAAGGGGAATAAAAATCCACAAATAATTAGCTGTCAAATGCAGGAAAAATGAAAATGAAAAACTAACAAAAGTAAAAACACTTTTTTTTCTGGTTTGTAAAAGAAAAAAATATATATATATATTTTTCAGAGACAGGGTCTCACTATGTTGCCCAGTCTGTAGTGTACTGGCTATTCACAGGCACAATCATGGTGCATGACAGCCTCAAACTCCTGTGCTCAAGCAGTCCTCCTGTGTTAGCCTCCTGAGTAGCTGGGACTATAGGTGCACACCACTGCACCTGGAACAGAAAATATTTTTTTAAAAAAGTCTTTACAATGAATTGTTTCTTACTTAAAAACAAAGTCTTGAAACATAATTTAACTTATTTTCTTACTGAAGTTTTAACCACTTTCCAGCCTGATGTATCTCGATTATAACCTAAAACTTCTTGGGCAGTTTGTTGGGCAATTGCCTTGAAGTCCATCTATCTGCAAGTTTTAAAAACAAACAACTGGTAAGAATATAACCATATAAAAACTTAAAAAGTGCTATCTTACATTTTAATATTATTTCTATAATGCCTGTCACATAGAAATGAACATAATTACTTGATGAATGCATGTATGCATGAACCCCTCTCTCCTTACAGTCTTTCAAATGAGAAACTGTGGTATAGTGGAAAAATCTAGACTTTGAAATCAGAAACCTGGGTCATATCTTGTCTCTGCCACCTATTGTGTGAAGCATGTTACTTAATATTTCTGTTTTTCCATTTCTCTCAAGGTAAAATTAGGATAATATATGTCTTGTAGAATTAGCGTGAGGATTAGATGAGATGATATGCTTAAGGTTCTATCCAGTGCCTGGCATGCGATAGTCATTCAATAAATAATTTTAATTTCTAACAGTTTAATCACACGTCCTTTGTCTTGTGAAGCATTATGAGCTGTTGGTTATGTGTTCTTGAGGATTATTTAAAGTGCGTAGCAGTGGCACTACACGATCTGACCCCTGGCTTCCTCTTCAAATATACCTCCTACCAGTCTTCTTCTTGTCCACTTAGCTCCAATCATTTGATCTCCTGGCTGTTCCTCACATACAATAAAGCAATTTCTGACTTCAGGTTCTTTGTACTTGCTGTTCCTTCTGCTTGTCACTGTCTTCTGCAATGTGTTCATATAACTGACTGTTTCATAGGTATCTTTGCTTAAATGTCACCTCCTCAGATAGGATCAAGTTTAAATCAACTCAATTTAAACACATTGAACCCTGCTTGAAGTTAGAAACTGCAATGGACTGAATGTTTATGTCTCCCTAAAATTCATATGTTGAAATCCTAACTCCCAGGGTGATATTAGGAGATGATTAGGTCATGAGGGCAAAGCCCTTATGAATGGGATTAGTGCCCTCACAAAAGAGACCCCAGGGAGCTCAATGGCCCCTTCTTCCATGTGAGGACACTGCCAGAAGTTAGCAGTCTGCAACCAGAAGAGGGCCCTCACCAGAACCTAACCATGCTGGCACCCAGATCTCAGACTTCCAGGATCCAGAACTCTGAGAAATAAATTTATTGTTTACAAGTCATTCAGTCTTTGGTAATTTCTTATGGCAGCCCAAAAGGACTGAGACAGGCACTGTGGTAGATGTAGCAACAACAGTTGAGTAAGATACTAGACATAACTATTACTGCTGTGAATGAGTTCCGGAAGCTGCAGTCTCACTGGTCCTTCGGGTCATCATCCAGCTTTCAGTTAGGGGAAGCTGGCAGGTAAGGTGAAAACAGAACTGGATTCAAATCCTGACTTTGTCACTTAGTACAGCTATATTATTTTGGATAAATTGCTTAACCTTTGAACTTCAACTTCCATATCTATAGAATGGGGATAATAATATCTATCTCACCGAATCATTATAAGGATTAGTTGAGTTAATATATGTAAAAATGCTTTAAACAGTGTGGAGCCCTATACTAGGTTATCAAAATAGTTAGTTTCTCTTTAAAAAAATGGACACATATAAATCCATCATTTAAAAAACTCTCCAAAGATCTGCTTCCTTAAGCACTTAAATAAACCTTCTTAAAGTTTAATTATTGGAACATTTCTTCCTTAGCTCTCACTTAAAACTCTTCAGGTTGGATCATAAATCTATTTTCTCTTATTTAATTCTCCAGCAAGGCACAACAGGTAGTTGATAGTCTCTATATTTGAAAAGTTTTAGTAAACCATTATTATAACCTCCTCTTTCCTAGCAGAGTCCTGGTTTCTTTACCTTTCCTGACAGATCTAATGCAGAATTTTAGTAACTACTGGGGCTCCTCTCCAAATCCTTGTGGAAATCTCCATATCTCTTAACCTGTGAGGAAACAAGGCAGAAGTAGAATTATTTTGATCCATGAATTAGGTCAATATATTTGATAATTTTCTTTATATCTTCTCAGTGTCCTTTATCTATACTTTGTCTTCATTAGGAAACATTTGCTACATATATGCCCCAAGATGAAAGAAAAATATAGTACAAAAAACTTTAAAAGATACTGTTTATAAAAAGAATCTTTAAGAAACTATTTTAAAGGAACTCAGTTTAAAAAGACACTTAGGTGGAACGTGGATACAAAAATTTAAGTTTTTAAGCTTACGTCACTAACAATTAACAAGGATTGTTAATCCCCGACCAGGGCTCGTCTTAGCATATAAAACACCGTTCTTGATTTCCTATTGGAAACCTACTTGATATTAATTGATCTAGAGACTTTGAAGATTATTGGGACATACCACTAGCAGGGTATGTCTTATTTTCAAATCACCAACTATTACTGCCACAATAGACCTGTGTTTAACCACTAAACTGAACGTTATAGCTTCCGGACTTTTTCATTTGCTAAGAGAAAAGGGAAGGTAAAATTTAGTAGGCTACAAAGGGTAAAAAGAAGAAAGTGCAAACAGTAAGACTACAATTGTATTACATGGTGGTGGAACGTCGGATGAGCTGGAACATATTCAGATGGACTCATGGTCAAGGATATCTTCACTCATAGGGTCAGTGGAAAATAAACATAAACCAACATTGGGATGGCCTCTTTTTTTGATACACCAATTGGTTGAAACTGGATTCCTTCCAGACTTACAGACAGGTTCACACATGTTAGTGAGTCTTTACATCTGTTTGTACAATGACCCTCTTTCTGAGCTGCCTGACTGGGTCCCCAATCCGTGCGGGGTCACTGCCATTCTTCCCTGGGAATCAAGGCTTCCTAGGAGTTTGTTAAATCCCATCCCTGGCTAAACTCGGGTCTCCAATCTCCCATCTGCTTTGTGTGTGAGAGGCTCCGGGGTGTGAGAGGAAAGGCACTGAAGAGGGAGTGAAAGAAGTGGTGAGGGGGGACTGCCTACTAGCTGAGACGATATCTTATTTTTGGCGGGGGATGCTCTGGAAGCGGGGAGGCTGAACTCACTTGGAAAAACTGGAGCTGTGGGGCAGACTCTCAGCGACCGGAACGACAGCCGCCAGCGCCCTTAAGTCTCCCTCCCCACCCAGTCCCCTCCCGCAGACCCCGGGGCCGGCTGAAGGGAGATCAGCAAGTCCCCGCGCAAACTGGCCGAGAATAGCTGTGACGGAGGTTGGAAGGGCGTGGGGGGCAGCGACTTGGATGCAGCCCACATCCCCCCATTCCCAGCCCCAGAAAGGAGGGAGAAACAGCACCTTCCAGCAGGGGTCGCGACCTAACGCTCAACAGCATCCTCTCTTCTCCGGCCGCTCCCTCATCTCCGCTCGCGCCCGGCGCCCCACTGCCGCGCATGCGCACCGCAGGCCGGCGCCATGTTGGGGCGGTTTGAAAGCGAGCGCGGGTGTCGAGCTCTGCTGTGACTGCGGAGGAAGCTGCGAGTGAGCCGAGCCTGAGGCGGGGCGGTGTCCGGGTTGGGGATGCTTTGTGGTGTCTCGCGTTGGGTAACAGGCCTGAGCTTTCGGCGGAGAGCTGTGGAAGTGTGCGGTTTTTGTTTTTGTTTTCCTTTATTTTTATTTTGGGGCCTTAGGGGTGAGTTAGGACGGAAAGGAGGGTGTCTTTTCGAGGGTTGTCCCATCCTGTGACAGCCGAGAAAAGGCGAAAGGAGAGTGGCGAGGAAAGAGGAGGAGACGTCTCCTGAGGGAGGGCGCTTGTGGAGTCTCTGTGGAAGGAAGAACACTGTAGGGGGAGTGCCCCCTGGGCGAGGGAGGGTCGCGGGACGCGGCGGAGGGGGCTCACACGGGCGTCTGCGGACCTGAGGCGGCGACAGGAAGGGGCTTGCGCTCTGGGGCTGTCGCTTCGGAACACTTCTCCTTCAGTCCATTGCTGCGCTCGCCCTGGCTGCTGAATAAATGGTTTCGGAGTGAAAAGCATCTCACTGAAGAACTTGTCTGTGTCTGTGACTGACGGGCGGTGGAACACCAAAGGGAGGGTGTCGCCTGATTGGGACTGGAAAAATTGGAATTCAGGGCGCCCGGGGTAGGGGAACGATGCGCACTGCTGGAGACGGGCGACCTTCGCTGGCCGGTCGGTGGGTTCCTGGTTTTCTGCTGCCGAGTAAACAAACGTTCCCTTTCCTAACTTAGCAGTCACAGAGCTATTTCCAAGAGTTGTTCTTAATTTCCTGTGCGATATTCCCATTGGCTATTTAACACTGAACATTCTGTTTTTGAATCAAAGTTAGTTAAAATTTGTTGTCAATAAGTTTAACATTCTGTTCTTCCGCGTGATGGATTTTCTTTTGGAGATTCGAACTGAAGCCTGTACGGAGGAAATGGTAAGATATATGGGATTTGCATGAGATATGTGGGGTTCAAAATAATCCTGTGGCTGAAGTGGGGAGAAGTGGGTGGGTCCCTACCCACTTTAGCTACAATTGGGGTCTGTTCAGCGATTGTTGGAAGCAGGATGATGAGTACATAGGGGTTTATTGAACGATTCTACTTTTGTATACTCTTTTGGGGAAAAGTTGGAAAACTTTTCATAATGAAACTTAAATTGTGCATTTTCTTTTTGTCTGTCCTGTGAGTTGAAATAACTAGTAAATGTTATCACCCACTTACGGAGACCAATACAACAGCTTTCTCTTTCAAGGTTTTGTAAAATAAAATCAGTAGCCTGTTCGGCATTCAAAGACAGAAAACATTTGGTCAGGCTTATCCAAACAAATTTACTTGAGTGAGTTTAAACTTCTTTAAATAAAAGGGATACGAAAAAGGTAAAGCTGGCTTAGTTTAGCCATTCGTCAGAGATATACCAGTATTACAGAATTCAGATAAATCAATGAGACGAAACAACTGTTACCTTATGTTCTGCCATTTGCACTGACCACGGTCAGATCTCTTGTAATGGCCATTGCATGCTCTAACGCTGTGGTAGGATGATGTTTTACTTTGTCTCTTATTTAATTAGAAAACTTTCGATGTTTTAAAGCCAAATTTAATAGTTACTAAGATTACATTAAAAGTTGTTATAACAAATATTTCTAAAATTATAGCCAAAAATTAAACATTATAACATCATAGCATATGTTAAGTCCTCAACATTAATACTTTTTTAGTATAGGAAATCCATTCATTTAATTTTAAAAAGAATGTCATCATGGACTGAATTAGTGCCGGTTCGTTCTGTGATTTCTTAGGTTTTCAAATATACATCCTGTTACTGTACTGAGGTAGACAGGGATTCTCTC
Organism: Homo sapiens; assembly: GCF_000001405.40. Taxonomy (NCBI): domain Eukaryota; kingdom Metazoa; phylum Chordata; class Mammalia; order Primates; family Hominidae; genus Homo; species Homo sapiens. The sequence continues at coordinate 54,359,786 of NC_000018.10, forward strand.
AATTTTAATAATGGAAAAACAGAAGAACACATTGAGTTGATTTTCACATTATTTAAGCTTCCTTTGAAAGAGGTGAGCTGAATCCATTTAACATAAGAATTGAAAATAGGGAGGGTGGTACCAAAAACGAAGGTCAGGAAATGATTAACTATTTTAGGAAAAGTGTATATTGCTAACTCATTCCAGAATAAGACCTGCAGTTTATTTACAGTTAAATGTTGTAAATGTACTAGCATTTATAACATTGAAAGTGAATATTCTCCATTGTTCTTGTTTTGAATACTTCATTTGATGGCTTTAAAAAATTTATTGAGCGCTATTATCTGCAGCACATGGTAGTAGGCTTATGATTTGAAAAATATGATGTATAGGGGAATATTAGGTATTGTGATGTCATAGAATATATCACCATAAGAGAAAAGAGGTTCATAAGTAGTTTTTAGGACTTTTTAAGAAGTGAGTACTCTCTCCTTGGTATTTTCCATGTATATTCTCAGATAATTTTTGTATACATACTTCCAGCCACATAGTAGGTACTCAAAAAATGTTTTCTAAATCATTGATGAAGGAATTCACAATAATAAATATAACAAAAATCTACAATTCCTAACAAGGAGTGTCTGTTATAGATAATGGATTTTATTATTTAAAGAAAATTACAAAAGGTTTACATATTTAGTAATTTTGTTTGTGTATGGTCACTTTTAATTGGCATCTTAACATTTCGTTTTTGTATTACAGTTGTTTTTAAGGGAAATGAATAGAAACAATCCACTTTGAAGAAGCCATGGCGAAATCAAAGACAAAACATAGACTTTGTTCTCAGGAATCTTCAGTATCTGCCCTGCTGGCAAGCTGCACCCTGAGTGGTAGTAATTCCTCTAATTCTGATGGCTCGTTTCACTATAAAGATAAGCTGTACAGATCTGCTTCTCAAGCTCTACAGGCTTATATTGATGATTTTGATCTAGGCCAAATATATCCTGGTGCAAGCACTGGAAAAATTAACATTGATGAGGATTTTACTAATATGTCACAGTTCTGCAACTATATTTACAAACCAAACAATGGTATGCTTTTATTCTTTGTTTTCTTTGTGTTCAGATGTTTTGAAGCATTTGGGAGATGTACTGTAGTATTGTAAAGTTTGACATTATTTTTGTTACTTTGGAGTAAAAATAACATAATATTGAGATCTGGGTGTTTTTGTAAAATGATTATATAATTCTCTGTGGAACAGTAATATTCACAAGATGTTAAGAGTTTGTCCATAATAAAGCTTCCTTGAAGACAAGTTTGGAAAATGCAGTTGTTGATAAGTCAATTACTACTTTACTTAACACTTGCAGAATGACCCTAGAATAGAAAAAGTTTGTATTCAGTTCTTGGAGGGATGTGGTCAATATATTCCGGAAGCAAAGAATGAGAACAGCTGTTCTCTATGTATAATCCATGCCATTGAAGGGTTTGTAGGTGAGAAAACAAGTTATTTTTCCACCTAGTTTAATAGCATATTTTTTTCTATGCTGCAACCAATATTGAGTGACCAATGTTACTGTGATTGTATTAGTGTATCAGATATGTCTAGATGATGAAAGTTGAAGGAACAGTAAATTAGAGAACACAGGAAAATTCAGGAGGTTGGAGAGAAACGTAGAAATTAACACAGAACGAAGAATCGTGAGAAAAAAAGCACATCCTGTTTTATCCACCTACACCTTTTTATGCTTTTAATCAAAGCTTTAGTGAGGATAAGGGGAAAGCAGCAAAATGCCTCTTAAATTCTTAATTCTCATTTACTGTTGGATATTATAAAATATTTGTATGTAATAAACAAAACTGTTCTTCGTTTTTCAGCTTTTGAAAACCTTGATCACAAAAAGCACTCAAACTTCATATCCTGTAGAAGACACACCGTTAATGACATAGACTCCATGAGCCTAACAACTGATGATCTATTAAGACTCCCAGCAGATGGATCATTTTCTTATACTTATGTTGGACCGAGTCACCGAACGAGCAAGAAAAACAAGAAATGCCGTGGAAGACTGGGTTCATTGGACATTGAGAAGAATCCACATTTTCAAGGACCCTACACTTCCATGGGCAAGGATAACTTTGTTACTCCTGTTATACGCTCAAATATAAATGGAAAGCAATGTGGTAGGCTGAAAAACCCAAAACTTATGAATAGGACTAATAATTGCATTTCTGAATCATCTTTGTCTTTTCCCAAGAAATCGTCTTTCAAGGACAGTTCAGAACACAGTCTTGAAAAGAATTACCCAAGATGGCTCACTAGCCAGAAATCTGACCTTAATGTTTCAGGGATAACTAGTATACCTGATTTCAAATACCCAGTCTGGCTGCACAATCAAGACTTGCTACCTGATGCAAATAGTCAAAGGGTTTATCAGATATTTAAAGATGATCAGTGTTCCCCTAGACATAGTCATCAGGCACAAGGAACTTCTCGGCTTATCAATAAATTAGATTGTTTTGAATATGCTTTTGAACCCTCAAACTTTTCAAATTCCTTGAGTGATGATAAAGAATTAGTTAATGAATACAAATGTGATTTTGAACATAGCCAGTGTCAATGTGAGAATCCACTTCTCCCAGGACAATCCACAAAGCCATTCAGTGGTAATACTTTGTTTATTGCTTATAGTTATTTATTTTTCTTTTTTTTAAACCAAAAGAAGTGCTGTAAAGTTGATGTGATATCTGGGAGCTTTTATGTTTTGTTTTCATGTAATACATCTTTTTGGAATGCTTATAATCTTCACATACAGCATTTTGTAACTAGAAAATGTCTTTTCTCCCATTTTTTTCTTTGCTTGAAATGTCACATTTTAACATAATTTGCTGTTATAGATGAATGTACATTCCAAATGATCAGAACTCTTGTTGACTTTGTGAGATTTTGCTATGCTTTACATTAATTTTTTTCTTCAAGGATTAATAGTCATCTTTTACAATTAGGTGACAAAATTGAATTGCTTATCTTGAAGGCCAAGAGAAATCTAGAGCAGTGTACTGAAGAATTACCAAAGTCCATGAAAAAGGATGACAGTCCTTGCTCATTAGATAAACTTGAAGCAGACAGATCATGGGAAAATATTCCTGTTACTTTGTAAGTAAGTGGCAATGGAAAAACTGTTTAGTTTTCCAAATGAAAAATGTCATGCGAATATCTGATTTATATTTAAACGAACGGTAATTAATAATATTGTAACTCCATAGAACATAGCTTTGTGTTACTTGCTTTAAATTGCATTTTTCATTTATTACCACAAGATGGTATAATGGTTCATAATCTTAGGTACTTTATATAACATCTGTCTTTGTTACGTACTCATTTTGTTTCATTATAAAATATTGATAAGCATCTTAATATGAGGGATTAGAACCAGAAACAATTATTTTGCAGAGTAGTGTTATGAAATTCTTGTTATTTTCTTCTGACTTAAAGCTTTTCCTCTGTTCCTCTATAGTCTCTCCATATAATGGAGTTGTACATTTCTTTTTCTTTTCTTTTCTTTTTTTTGAGATGGAGTCTTGCTCTGTCACCCAGGCTGGAGTGCAGTGGCACCATCTGGGCTCACTGCAACCTCCGCCTCCTGGGTTCAAGCCATTCTCCTGCCTCAGCCTCCCCAGTAGGTGGGATTACAGGCCTGCACCACCATGCCCAGCTAATTTTTGTATTTTTAGTAGAGACGGGGTTTCACCATGTTGGCCAGGCTGGTCTCTAACTCCTGACCTCGTGATCCGCCCGCCTCTGCCTCCCAAAGTGCTGGGATTACAGGCTTGAGCCACCGTGCCCGGCCTGAAGTTACAAATTTCTTATCATTTACTTTTTACTTTCCCTTTTAGTTGTTGTTTTCCTTAAATGATGGTACATTTTCTATTATCAGAAATGCATTATTGCTAACCCCATATCATGCCTTAGGCTTTGATAATTTATTATCTTTAGTTGTCTAAACTTTCATTCTGTTATAGACAGAGTCTATTAGTTCCTGGATTCTTTTTGTTTTTTATTCTCAGTTGATTGTCTCTTTTCAGAATGTAGGCATTGACTATAATTCCAGTTTAGAAGCCTACGTCTGCCATTTTCTTGCTGTATTGCCTTGTACAATTTACTTGACTTCTCTAAACTTTAAAGATGGAGAAATAACGTCTGCTTCAGGGTTATTGTGAGGATTAATTTGACTAGAAAATGAAAATGAAGTTTCTGACCTAGGATGAGCTCTCTTAGAAATTTTAGTAGTGATGATGATTATCTAGAATATTTTATTTTCTTCTTTTAGCTTCATTTCTCCTTATATATTTCATATATATATGTTGAGATATATATACATATTTTTTTTAAACTTGATTTGATAATGAGTTCACGTAATGCTTAACTTCTCTTATCCTTCTTGTGTCCTAGTTGCTTATTTTATCACTTGTTCTGTGTATTAATAAAGTATCATAGCTGCAATACTTTGATTTTAATTGGAACCAAAATGGGCAAGCAAGTAGTATCAGAGGTGCTTAAAATTATTGAATGCACTTAATGTATTTTATTATTTGATAATGTAACTTCTAGCTTGTATAATTAATATTATCAATAGTTTGGCTCAGTACCTTGCATATAGTAATTCATTTTTGGAAGACTGAATTTATATTGTGAAGGGAATGTTTGTAGATAAAACTAAGGGTGAATTGCTGAGAAGGAATAGATCTCAGTTTGAGATTGACAAATTATTATCAACCTGTCATCAAAAACAAAATTGAATAGGAAGTACTCAAGGTAGTATTTTAAGTGGTAGAGCAAAACCACAATCAGATCATTGCTTTTTTAAAGAAACTTTTTATTATGGAAAAGCTCAAATAAATTACGAAAGTAGAATAGCATAATGAACCTCTGTGTACTCTTCAACAATCTGGTAAATGTTTTTTAATAACAGATGGGTGGCTCTACAAAGTGTTAGCAAAGAATAGGGGAAAGGACTACCTGATAGTATGAAAGAGCTTGTGAATTAGAAATCAAATATGTCAATAAAGAAGCATGCTTATTAAGAAAAAACATCAGCATTCTGTAAATGTTAAAAAAAGATTCTTAGATATCTGAGTTCTTGAGTTACAAACATACCTCATAGTGTTGTAAGAATAAGAGAGAAATAGGTTGAATTCATTTTTGTGATTAATAGAATTTGATTCTCGGAGCATTCTTATTTTTGGTGGGGATACCCTTTCTTCTACTACCCCGTGAATATCAGGAAAGAAATGGGTATTTATTAAATGTACTAGGTACATAGAAAATTAATTCAGTTTATGCAATATGTCTGTGAGATAGATGGGACTACAAATGTTGAAACTGAAATTCAGATAAATTACTTAAGGTCATATAGTGAGTGGGACTGAGATTGCATGCAGGAATGTTAAATTTCAGAATTCTCTTCCCAGAATAATCTGTTCTTTATGTTAATACCAGTTATAAAGGGGAAGTCTGTTCTGTTGCCTTCAAGTAGGAGAACATTTAACTGCCATTCTAGTAAAAACTTTTAAGAGTTTATGGGGTTGTTGATTATTAGATGGTAACAATGTTTAATTGGAAAAATGTACTGTTTATTTCAAACAAGGTGAGCTTTTGGAGCACAGTCTGTAGTTCAGGCCTTGTTTAGCTGAATGTTAATATCTTCAGTTTCTTCATAGTGTTTTCTTAAAGCTTGAAGACAGAAGCAGGGAGATAAGAAGGGGTTGGATTCTGGTATCAGTTTAGGGAGAAGATAAGGGAATTACCATACAACATTAATATGAATCATATCCATGATGATTATTTCTTGGTGACTACTTGTATTTAAATGAGAATTCTTAAATTATATACTGTTTACTTTTTAGAAATTGGGAACTTAATTGCTATCTTGCATCCTTTAAATCCTGTTTAGCAAATCTCCTGTTCCCGTTAACTCTGATGATAGTCCTCAACAAACTTCAAGGGCAAAGAGTGCTAAAGGGGTTCTTGAAGACTTTCTAAATAATGATAATCAGGTGGGTGAAATTAAAAGTTTTAAAACTTATTTAAAGATATATGAATAATATGTAGATACTAATTTTTAAGTTACTTAGATAATTTAAAGCAAAAAAGACTCAAATCTTCTCCTCTCAAATACCCATCATTCCTTCCAGAATTATTGATTATATTATTTTTTATAATATTTTAAATTTTTAAATTAACACATAATAATCATACATATCTATGGGATACATGGTGATGGGATACACTGTGAATATACAGTGATCAAATCAGGGTGATTTGCATACCATCATCTCAAATATTTATCATTTCTTTGTGTTGGGAACATTCAAAATCCTCTCTTTAAGGTATTTGGAAATATATAATAATTTATTGTTAGTTATAGTCAGCTGATACTGCTTTAGAACACTAGGACTTATTTTTTCTATCTAGCTGTAATTTTTTTATCCTTAAACCAATCTCTCCTTATTCCTTACCTCCCTCCTACCTTTCCCAGTCTCCGGTAACCACTATTCTACTCTCTATTTCTATGAGATCAGCTAGTAAGCTTTCCCATATAAGTGAGAACTATGATATTTATCTTTCTGCTCCTAGCTTATTTTACCTAACATAATGTCTTCCAGAGTCATACATTTTGTCACAAATGACAGGATTTCTTTCTTTTTGAAGGCTGAACAATATTCTGTTGTCTATATATGTCACATTTTCTTTACCCTTCTATCTGTTGATGGATACTTAGGTTGAGTCTATATCTTGACTATTGTGAATAATGCTGCAGTAAACATCAGTAAACATGGTTGTGCAGATATTTCTTTGGCATATTGATTTCATTTCCTTTGGATATATACCCAGTAGTCAGATTGCTGGATCATATGGTAGTTCTATTATATATTTAATTTTTTGAGGAATCTTCATACTGTTTTACTGTGTCTGGCTGTGTGTGGTGGCTTATACCTGTAATACTAACACTTTGGGTGGCCAAGGTTGGAGGATTGCTTGAGTGTTTAATAAAAAAAAAGTCCATAATTGATAATACTAATTTATATTCCACAAGTGATTATTTCTTAAGGGTAAGTTGTAATGTGAAATCTTAAACCATAATAATGACCTTCTTTGTCTCTTTCTACAGTTGTTGACTTAGTCTGATTTGTCTCGTATAAGTAAAGCTACTCCTACTTCCTTTTGGTTACCACTTGTGTGGAATATCTTTCTCCATTCATTCACTTTATGTGTATCTTTAAAGGTGAATGGAGTTTCTTGTAGGCAACATATAGTTGGACAATGTTATTTTTATCCATTCTGGAAGTCCATCTCAAATTTTAAGTGGGGAATTCAGTTTGTTCACGTTCAAGGTTAATATTGATAAGTGAGGACGTATTCCTGTCATTTTGTTTACTGTACTCTGGTCATTTTATATGTTCTTTCTTCCTTTTTTCCCCTCATATTATCATTATGGTTTGGTAGTTTTCTGTAGTAATGTTTTATTCTTTTCCTTTGTGTATCTGCTCTACCAGTAAGTTTTATATTTCCATGTGTTTTCATGATGGTGCTTATCTTTTTGCTTCCAGATGTAGGATTCCCCTGAGCATTTCTTGTAAGGCAGGTCTAGTAGTGGTGAATTCTGTTGGTCTTGGTTATGTAAGAAAGAGTTTATTTCTTTCATTTCTGAAGGAAAGCTTTGCTCCATATAGTATCTTGGCTTGCGATTTTTCTTTTCAGCCCTTTGAATGTATCATCCATCCTCTCCTGGCCTTTAAGGTTTCTGCAGAGATATCTACTGTCAGTCTAATGGGAATTCCTTATATGTGACTTCATGGTTTTCTCTTGCTGTTTTTAGAATTGCCTTTGCAGTGTAACCATAGTGTGCCTCTGGGAGGATGTTTTTGGCTTAAATCTACTGGGGGCCATTGAGCTTACTGGATTTGGATGTCATATGTATTCCCAGACGTGGGAAATTTTCAGCTATGATTTCATTAGGTTTTCTGTGCCTTTTGCCTTCTCTTCTCCTTGTGGAATTCCCATGATAATAACATTTGTTCATTTTATAGTATCCTTAAGTCTTGTAGGCTTTCTTTACTCTTTTTCCTTCTCTGACTGGGTAATTTCAAATGACTTATCCTCAAGTTCGGAGATTCTTTTGTCTATTTGATGAAGTCTATTAAGCTCTCTATTGTATTTTAAAATTCCATTCATCGAATTCTTCACTGTGTATTTTCTGTTTGGTTCTTTTTTTATGATTTCTGTTTGTTGACTTTGTTGCTCATATTGTGAATTGTTTTCCTGATTTGGTCAAATTATCTGTCTGTGTTTTTTTGTATCATTGAGTTTTTTTAAAAAAACATGATTTTGAATTCTTTTTCCACCCATTTGCTGATTTCCTTTTCATTGGAGTCTGTTACTAGAGTTATTATATTCCTTTGGTGGTGTCATATTTTCTTGGTTTTTCATATTTCTTGTGTTTGTTTGTTGGTATCTTGGCATCTTTCTGAATTATTTTCTGTGTGTTTTGTTGATGTTTGCTGTGTTTTCTTAGAACAGCTATTTTGAATTCTTTGTTTGCCAGATCATCTGCAGGTCTTTAGGATCAGTCACTTATTTTGTAGAGGTTTTCTGTTTGGATTTGTCTGAAGTTTTCTCATGATTAGAATGAGGTTATGCATTTTTGGCAAAAATACTGAAGAAGTGATGTGCTCTTCTTACTGCATTATCTCAGAGGGCTCATTATATATTGATATCATTAATATATTGATAAGTTAATGCAGTAATAGTAATATATAATAAAGATATAATATGTAAAAACTGGTTGTATTAACTTTGAACACTTGGTTAAGGTGATCTTTATCCTTACTAAAGATACCGATTTTCCTTGTAATTATTAAATATATTATAAAGCACTTTGAGACTTTGCAGATATCCTGTTTCTCCTCAAACTTTTGTCTACTAATTTTAGTATCCATTTGTGAATCCTATCTTTTTTTCTATATTTATTAACTGAAAACCTTGTATAATGAAAAACTATCTTTATATTTGTTTAGCAAATTATATTAGTACAGATTCACTAATTTATTTTATTCTTGGTTTAGAATGCAGTATAATTAGTTACGCTGCTGTTCAAATTGTTTCAGGTTAGGCCATTAGGAGTTCCTTCATGTTGGCTCCTGTGCCTTTTTATATGTCTGCATTCTTTTTTGAGCATTTCTTTGAGGAGCCATGGTTCTTTGTATTGGAAAATGGCACTTAGAAACTAGGATCTAGGCATTAGTTGTGCTGAGTGCTACTAGGGTGTTGTTCATTCTAAACTATGTCAGCAGGAAGACCTAGGAAACAAGTTTGCCAACCCACATATACTCACATATGTACATTTCTTTATCTGTTTATCTGTGTACATATATGTGTATATGTGTTTACATATAAATAAACACATATATGTATAAAATCATGAGTATTGATACCTCTGATTCCAGTCTAATACTGCAGTTTGTTTTAGCTTTTCCCATTCCCTATTTGTAACTTTCTCCCCATGATAATCCTTTCATTATCTACAGTAAATTTACTTGTTTGTTCAGTCTTATTATACATGCAAAGTGGTTTTAGAATTGCTAACCCATATTCCTGTAATTAACAAATGTACTAACTAGATTACATTATTTGTATATTGCTTTTTTTTTTTTTTTTTTTTTTGGAGACAGTCTTACTCTGTCTCCCAGGCTGGAGCGCAGTGGCACAATCTCTACTCACTGCAACTTTGCCTCCCAGGTTCAAGCAGTTTTCCTGCATTAGCCTCCCAGGTAGCTGGGATTACAGGCACCCACCACTACACCCGGCTAATTTTTGTATTTTTAGTAGAGGCAGGGTTTCACCATATTGGCCAGGCTGGTCTTGAACTCCTGACCTCAAGTGATCCACCCGCCTCAACCTCCGAAAATGTTGGGATTACAGGCATGAGCCACCATGCCCAGCTGAATATTGCTCTTTTCGTCTTTAGCCTTATAATATCATAACAAAATACTGTTTTCCAGAGTTACTTAGGTTATTTTCTTCCCAACTCTCTTTGGTGTGGTTGTGCTGTTTATTTATAATACTGCTAGTTGGTTCATTTGTCTTTGTATACAGTTGGCCCTCTGATGTGTGGGTTCCACATCTGTAGATTCAACCAACTGCAAATTGAAAATCTGGAGAAGAATAATAAACATAACAATACAATAATAAAACATAATTTAACACTTTGGGAGGCCGAGGCGAGCGGATCACGAGGTCAGGAGATCGAGACCATCCTGGCTAACACGGTGAAACCCTGTCTCTACTAAAAAATATAAAAAATGAGCCGGTTCTGGTGGCGGGCGCCTTTAGTCCCAGCTACTTTGGAGGCTGAGGCAGGAGAATGATGTGAACCCAGGAGGCGGAGCTTGCAGTGAGCCAAGATTGCGCCATTGCACTCCAGCCTGGGCAACAGAGCGAGACTCTGTCTCAAAAAAAAAAAAAAAAAGTTTAAAACACAATGTGCAAGTATTTACATACTGTTGACATTGTAGTATTTATTATCAGTAATCTAGAGATGATTTAAAGTCTACAGGAAGATATGCATAGGTTATATGCAAATACTGTGCCATTTTATAATCAGGTACTTGAACTTCCTTGAACTTTTATATTCACAAAGTGTCCTGGAAACAGTCTCCCAAGAAAACAGCGATGACTATATATTGGGTTGTCCTCTTGTTCTGTTTGGTTTAAATAATTTGTTTTTTGAATATATGAAATGTCACTATGGTTCTAAGAGTCAAAGATATACAGAGATGTACCCGGAGACATTTACTAGCAGGTTTCAATGACAAGTCTCAGAACAAATTGTATTATCCATACAATATTTTTAAAACATTCATTAACATTGGCACAAACAGTTCATATGTTTTCTAGTTTTCTGTCTTCTTTTGATACTCTGACCACTGCTTTGCATGAAAAGTCACTTAGCTCAGACATAAATTCCAGAGGCAGCCTTTTGTAACTATTATGGTTGGCATAAGGCAGCCGAAGTTCTAAAATAAGATAGTGGCTGGATGCAGATCATTTGGAGATTATGCCTCAGATGCTATCTCCCAGGGTGTAGGAGTATATCCTAACTGGATCCTTTTACCCTGTTTTTTTTTTTTTCTTTTTAAAATGTTTCTTATATTGTTGTGTTAAAATATACATAACATAAAATTTACCATTTTAATCATTTTTAAGTGTACAGTTCTGTGGCATTAAGTACCTTCACATTGTGTGTAGCTATCACCATCGTCCATCACCAGAACTTTATCTTCTCACACTGAAACTTTGTACTCATTAAACTCTAACTCCCTATTTCCCCCTCTCCCTAGTCCCTGGTAAGTAGCTTTTTACTTTCTGTCCCTATGGACTTGTTACTATAGGAACCTCGTGTAAGAAGAATCATATGTGTATCTTGTTGTGACTGGCTTATTTTGGTTAGCATAATGTCTTTAAGGATCATCTATGTTGTAGCATTTGTCAAAATTTCCTTTTCTTTTTAGATTGAACAGTTTTCCATTGTATGTATGTACCACATTTTGTTTATTCATTCATCTGTTGTTGGACTCTTGGGTTATCTGCATCTTTTGGCTGTTGTGAATAATTTTGTTGTGAACATGGGTATACAAATATCTACCCAAGTCCCTGTTTTCACTTCTTTTGGATATATACCTAAGAGGGAAATTGCAGGATCATTCAGTAATTCTATGTTTAATTTCTTGTGGAATTCCTATACTGTTTTCTACAATGGCTATAGCATTTTACCTTTCCGCTCCATTTCTTATATCCTGTTCTATAACTGTGGAAGTGTCTTTAAAATCTTTTTAACCATACTGCTTACCTTGAGTATATTATGCTAATCAACAACTTTCTATAGAATTGAAGTTTAAGTAGTACTTATGGTGCACAGTCTATGCTGAAATATATTAAATTACAGACATCTGTACAGTCCTATTTGTTACTTGGTAGATAGCTGTTAGGACACAGAAACTCATTTGAAAGATGTAAAATAATAGACTGGTAAGACTTTTAAAAAGAAATTTTAAAATATCCCTCACCGATTATCTTAAAAGAATCCTGACCATCTTATGTGTCTTAAGTACTGCTGCGTTCTTTGAACACAAATAAGTCCAGGGGTAATCGAGCTATGAGTGTTATTTAGGTAGAAGGAATGTATGGCCCATGAAGAGGTGAAAAGCTAGCATTCTGTTATAAAAACATATTTTAAAGTGTGCAGAGAATACTGTATTTGAAATTTTAGTCCTTGATCAGCTGTAAAGAACATGTTGGTTTACCTGTCCTCTGAAGACCTTTCATTTCATTTACAATTTGTGATTTTAAATGTGCGAAATTAATTTGTCATAAATATAAACGTGCACTATTTATTTCAAAACAGCAATGACTAGAAAGGATATGCCAAACTGTTAATCATGATTGTCTTTAAGTAACTTCACCTGGGGCCTGGGGATGGGGAAGTGGTGAGTTACAATTTTGATTTTTTAAAATACTTTATTGACATACATTGTTTGGAGTTTTACATTAATTTTCTATTGGGGAAATTAATACAAAATAAAACTCTTCTTTCCCTGAGCTTGGATGGTTAACTTTATACTATCATCTGTTTTAACCTTAGAGCTGTACTCTCTCTGGAGGCAAACATCATGGTCCTGTTGAAGCCCTGAAACAAATGTTATTTAACCTTCAAGCAGTACAAGAACGTTTTAATCAAAATAAGACCACAGATCCAAAAGAAGAGATTAAACAAGTAAGCACAAACATGATTTATGAATTGAGATTTGTGAATTTGTATAAAGATTTTTTTCTACATCTTTTAATAGACCTACTTATAGTTTTATGTTAGTAAGCATGCCACATTACACATGTTGTAAGTGGCAGTAGTTTTTTTTTGTTAGGAAGTAATGTACTCACGTTTAATTCTGTTTGATTTCTGTAGGTGTTTATCTCTAAACAGATTGTTCTATTATGGTTATAAATCCAACATCTTATTTAGTTATGATGGTGTTACAACTATAGTATCAAAGGGTTGTAAGAGTTTTGTAATCCTCTACAAAATTAATCTATGTGGCCCATCTTCTGGTAGTTATATTCGAGGAGGCCTAGAAAACTTTTTCAACATTAGATTCCTTCACACACCTTTCTCCTTTGAAATTTAATTTTGTTACTGTGTGTTCATTGGCTGTTATGAATACAGTTATATCAAGTTTTATTTTAGAGCCATTTTATTTTTTCAATTTGTGTATTTCCCGGGAATTTGAAAATCTGTTTCTGTTTTAGGCTGCCATTCTATATGATGAATTTTTTCCCACAAAAGTATAGTGTTTAAGAACATAGAGTTTATATTTTCCCAAATATGATTGTGAATTCTGTCACTTACTAGCAAGTGCAATATTTGTGCAAATCATTTAACCTCTTTAGTTTCAGTTTCCTATTTAAAAAATTATTGATTTTTAATTGACAATATATATATATTTTGGGTGTACAACATGATGTTTTGAAACATCATGAAATGGCTAAGGGAGCTAATTACCTCACATACTTTTTGTGGAGAACATGTAAAACCTGCTCCATTAGTAATTTTCAAGTATACGATATGTTGTTTTTAATTTTAGTCACCATGTTGTACAATAGATCTCTTGACCTTATTCTTCTCGCCTAACTAAAATGTTGTATCCTTTGAAAAACATCTCTGCAACTCCCGTCCCCACATCCAGATTCTACATATAAGTGAGATTATTATTCAGTGTCTGTCTTTCTGTGCTGGGCTTATTTCATTTATCAATTTCCTTTTCTGTATAGTGAGGTTGTTGAGAAGACAAATTGAGACAAACTATATAAAGTACTTAGTATAGTGCTTGGTACATGGTAAGTGCTCAATAAATGATGGCTCATTGTTTTATTGTTATTCAGTAGATCTGTGAAATTGAGTTTTCATTACAAGTGAGTGGATCAGCTTTTGAGAACCTTCATAGTCTGCTCATTTGAGTTGTATTTCTTAATTTCTGTCCTTACATTCTAATAATCATAACATTAATATGTAGAATGTAATCTATCTTTCTTTCCCCTCTCATTCTAAACATCATTGAGATATAAGCCTGTTCAATAAAGTCATAATTTTAAGCGAAGACTTGATTTTTAATGGACATATGTGTAGAAGTATACTTTAGGACAGTTGAAAAATGGCTGTTAGTTGTAGTGTTTTTACAGTAAATGGAAAATAAAAATATTTAATACTCTTGAAAATTAGAATTGTTTGGAAATGTAGAAAATATTTTTTAATGTTTTAATCACATTTTCAATACCATTTAATTTTGTAGTTATATAATTTTAATATTTTGTTATATTTGGTGTTTTTAATAATAGGTTTCAGAAGATGATTTCTCTAAATTACAGTTGAAGGAAAGTATGATTCCTATTACTAGGTCACTTCAGAAGTAAGTATTCTTTACTAATATGGATACAAATCCATCTTAGCCATTTCTTTGACATATGTAAAGTTACAGGGTAGAAGTAAGTAGTTTTAAGAGTAGCACTACTAGGCATATTTAAGCTTCTTGGAGCACACTGTTTACACTAAAAAACATTGTTTTCTTTTAAACTTGTGCTTTTTCCTATTCAAAGTGTTCTAAGGACCTAATGAGATAGCCTTAGACCTCTAAAATATAATGGATATGACTCATTTTTGAGTAGTAATAGCAACAATTTATGATAGTATTTTTGTGAGTATCCTATAACAGTAACTTGTATGAAATGTGTTTTCATATATTCTCTCTAGAATAAATTTAATAATAAATGGATCGTGATTTGGAACATCATTACAGAAATCTAAAGTAGATATAATGACCTGGATATAAAGATAGGTCTAATTTTCTTAGTTACAGTGTCTTAAATAATAAAATGGAGAAAAATACAAGTTGTTTCTATAGTCATGATATTGACAGAAGAGAAGGGTATTTATTTTGGAGTTTGTTGTGTGACTATGAAGTGTCCTCAGAAGATGGAATACTGAACTTAGGAAATACTGAGATTAAAAGTTTCTACTCTAGTCACACCATTTCACTTGGCTACCTTTTGTACTTTGAGAATTTGCTTAGGCTTCTGTGATCTAAGGAACTGGTGGAAAATAAAACACTAGACATGTAAACTTACGAATCTAATTGTCACAAATGTGTATATAGTTTTCATAGTTAAAATGTATCATGTATGATTACTTTTTTCTCTCTACTTAATTTATTATCTTTAGGGTATAAATAATGCACCTTTGTTTGTAGCTTGCCATAGTACTGGGGTATAATGTTTCATACCTAATAGAATTCAGTGAATAATGATAGTAATAGCTAACATTGAATGTTTACCAAATTTCAGTATTCTAAGTGCTATTGAATATAATTCATGTGATCTTCACAACCTTATGAAGTAAGTACTATTATTATTTTCATAATACAGATCGGAGAATAGGCATGGAGTAGTAAAGTAACTTGCCATAGCTAGTAAAAGAAGCGGGATTCAGATCAGGTAGTGTGATTTGAAAGTCTGTATTTTTAACACTACTCTCACTAATGATAGTGATGAATTATTCATTGAGACTAAGAACAGGGCCTCAGTTGATCATCTAGTATGAAGACTTCATTCTGCTTTAAAATTTGAGGTGAATGACCATAAGTTTTCCATTGCTCTTTAAAGCATTATACTGCACTTGTCACAGACCTATATGTGTTTTCTGAGTTAATGTACATATCCTAGATGTTTTTCCTGGTGAAAACTAACAGTGGATTGTAAGTCATTTAATCACCACAAAAATCGATACTGATCTATAAGTGCTTTTACCATTTGCTAGAATTTTTTTAATAGTAACTTTTTTTCTACTATAAGCAATCAATAGTCTTACCTGTATATGGAGTTTCATTTTTAGAGAGAGTAAGTTTTATGTTTTGTTAGATGGCCTTTAGTTATTAATTCTGTTGTATTAACTGGAGCAGTCTTAATTTGTCTTTACATTTCTAAAGTATTATCAGTAAGACGTTTGTACTGTAATGAAGTAAGCTTAGACTTACAAAAGTTATTTTCAGTCTGTAGATTAACTGTTTTAAGGACAATTTAAATTTAATTACATCTCAGAATTCCTTTTTCCAGGCGGCAAAATATTCTGGTTAGGTATATGGTCATCTTTTCATACTTCAAATATTTCAAATGTATTTCAAAATTTACAAAATATTTCCAAAATATTTCAAAAGTTACTGATTATACTTTGTAGGCTTTATTGGCCTTTCCTAAGGTAAAATCCTATTATGGCTCTTTACATTCCTCAAATAACAGTTTTTGTTTTTAATAATTTGGATGGCTATCCAGTTTTAAGATATATTTCATTAGCCATAGGGAACTGTAAGCTAGTAGTCTGGCCTTGTCTAGTCCCTTAAATACTCAGTTTTCTTATATTCTTCAATTAGAAATATGTGTTCTCTAGGAAGACTCATTGGAGCTGGGATTACAGGTGCATGCCACCATGCCCGGCTAATTTTTGTATTTTTAGTAGAGATGGGGTTTCGCCATGTTGGCCAGGCTTGTCTCAAACTCCTGACCTCAGGTGATCCACCTGCCTCGGCCTTCCAAAGTGCTGGGATTACAGGCACGTGCCACCATGCCTGGCTAATTTTTGTATTTTTAGTAGAGACGGGGTTTTGCCATGTTGGCCAGGCTGGTCTTGAACTCCTGACCTCAGGTGATCCACCCACCTCGGCCTCCCAAAGTGCTGGATTACAGTACTGGCCACCACGCCCAGCTGAATATTTTAAAATTTTAGTTATTTTACCTCTGATTGGTTAGTAACTTTGGGTGAATTATTGTCACTTAGTCAATGAAGGTGGGAATCTCAGAAATTAACTGAAGTTGCCAAAAAAGGTGAGAGAATTGAGAGTCTTCTTATTACATTTGAGTAAAAGTATCCAAGAAGTGTATAGTACAGGGAAATAGATATACATGCAGTAAATAATGCTACTAGTTTCCTTCCATCTCCTTGTCCTGGGTAAAGTGGAAGATGCAGTTTATTATACATTTATTGAACAACTACTGTGTGTTAGAGACTATAGAATAGAGTGTTGTAGTCATTACCTTTCTGCTCACCATAAATGGAAATTACTAACATTGGAGGTTATTACACAGCTTATGTTTTTTTTTTAAATTTAATTTTGTTTTTTTGAGATAGAGTTTCGCTTTTGTTGCCCAGGCTGGAGGCTGGAGTGCAGTGGCGCGATCATGGGTCACTGCAGTCTCCACCTCCTGGCAAGCGATTCTCCTGCCTCAGCCTCCTGAGTAGCTGGGATGACAGATGCCAGTCACCACGCCTGGCTAATTTTCTGTTGTATTTTTAATAAAGATGGGGTTTCACCATGTTGGCCGGGCTGGTCTCGAACTCCTGACCTCAGGTGGTCATATCATCAGGTGATATGCCCATCCCAGTCTCCCAAAGTGCATGGATTACAGGCGTGAGCCACTGCTTCCGGCCCTTCCTGCACATCTTAATTACTATATTGTCACTCTGTTTTTCCTTAATATCCTTCTTATTTATTAAAGATCTGAAATATGACTAATTGATGTTTTCTGAGTGGTCCTCCAGGAACTGAAATATAGGGGAGAGAAAAACTGGAAAAATATAAATTAGAGAAGGCTTGGAAAGTTAAGGGCCTCTTTTCCTGGTTTGAGGAATGATTGAGTTTTCTCCACTGAGACCTGCAATACAATCTTGGCATTATTTCAGAGAAAAATCTAGGTTGTTGGTATAACAACACATTATATAGACTTATTGGAGTAGTTGGCAGCTTCCCCTATGATCAATAAAAATGAGTTTTGTTCAGATCTGTAACTAATCCTTAAATGCTATTTAAAAAATAGCTATCTTGAATGTAAATGTTAAAAATAATTTCTGTATTTTACTTCTTAACTAATATACACAGGATACCAAAAGCAAAGGTGTCATTTCACAGAGCTGTAGTGAAAATTACTTGAAAAAAGTGTTCTTGTTAAGTGTGATACAACTGATACCTATTGTTTCTTGTTAGGGCACTTGGCAGACTATCTTAAAAAAAGTTAATGTCAAAAAATATAATTTTTAAAGTAAATGTTTATAGAACTTTAGATAAATTATTTTAACCCTCAATTATTCAGATCTCAAGGTTTTATAAGGAATAAGTCTCAAAGTTTATATAAATTTACTTCTCATACCAATTTTGAAGTTAATAGTCAACTTTATTTATTTTTTTGCTGTCTGCATTGGCTATTCAGTTCTTAATAACTGGTTTATAATGTGTTTTATACTTTTTAATGAAGGGCTTTGCACCATTTATCTCGCCTGAGAGACCTGGTTGATGATACGAATGGAGAACGGTCACCGAAAATGTGAAGAGGAAAATGAAACTGTCACCACAATGAATAGTCACCACAGAACAAATAGGCATTTTTTCTATTACTTAAACTGACAAAGTAAATATAAGCCATACATTATTTTGTGGTTGGTTCAAGGATTATATATTTCTAAAACACTAAACTTGAAAATACCCATAGGTTTTGGGACCTATCTTTATTTTGTGCCAACATACTAGAATGTGAACTGCAAGGACCCACAATATATCCTGAAGTCTTACTTTCGCCTTCTGGCCAGCAAATGTCTAATATTTAAAGATGGATGACTTCTGTTCTTGAAGCTTACCTGGATTTAACCTTCTTCAGCATCCTCAACATTTTATTACCTGGTTCAGGATCATTAAGAAACTTACTGGTTTTTATCCAAAATCTTTTACGTTAAATAGACTTTTTTAAAGATATAGTTAGCATCACTTTTAAACAGCTTAAAGGAATATCAAAATTGTTATTGTGTATCTCATCTATAAGGAAGTCTGTTACTTTGAAATTTTCATAAATTTAATATTTAAGATACATTGTATTTGAAAATTGCATTAATAGTGGGGTGATACTGTGTTAAAAGGAATGTTGTGTTGTGACATTCAAGAGAACCTCCTCATTTAATTAGTACTTTGATTCTGTGTAAGATAATCTTGGTAGTGCTTGACAGTTTCCAAACCTTTTTTTGGAGAGATATTTAAGAATTTAATATTTTGATATTAGATTGTTTCCCAGATTTTAATTTTGGGGTTGGCTCAAACTAGTGAAAACTATGACTCAATGGCCAATTGCTTTATCAAATTTGATAACTAAAACTTAAAATGAATATGGAAAATCAGAAAGCAACTCTATTTTAGAGCTATTTTGTAAGAGTTGTGCTTTCTTTAACACCATCTGTAGTCTTAAGTTTGTCTCTAGCTAGAACTGAACAAAGCTCTATAATTTTTACCAAGCACTTATTATTAATACTTCTTATAAGTAGTAAGCATCTTTACTAACACAACTGAGAATTAAGTCATAAAACATAACTAATACAGCACATTACTGCCTGACAAAATTAAAGAGTACTGTGTGTATGTATAACTACTACAGGTTAACACTTCACCCAAATGATAGCGTTTTTCCTCAGTAGATTATTGTCAAATAGGAATTTCTAAGCACATTGAGTCAAAGCATTTTTTCCAAGTTAATAAAGTGTTATTTACTATCTTTGTTAGAGGTGACATGTCAAACACTACAGTGAGCTCTGTGGGGTTTTTTTTTTTTTTTTTTGCCCGTGAGTTTTTTACCATGCTGCTCTGACCAGTTTGAGTGGCAATTACCAATAGATTTGTTTTCTTTATTCTATGGAGATGTTTTTACCACTGACACTGTTTTCTGATTATAGTCTGCTTCATAGAAAATAGCCTGCATAATCAAACAAGGAGTTACTTTGAAATTAAAGTATGCCTGGCTATTAAAAATGCAGATTTTAGGTGGGTAAACATCAGGTAGGTCTGGGTGGGTCATGTTCTAGGCCTAGAAAAATACACTATTAGACAAGTTCTAAAGAAGGCAAGGAGATAAAGGCATCAGGTGGTAACTTCTAATTGAATATTATATGTTGATCATACATAATATATACTATGCCTGGAAATTATGACTGAAAAGCACCTATTCGGTTAGTGCTCCTATTCATGAGAACATATCTCCAATACTAAATGAGATAAGCCTGTTCTAAAATCTTATAGCCAGTATTTTAAGAAACTTGATTATACTTACCAAAGGAACATTGTTTGTTTTCTCTTGTTTTAAATATGGAGAGGTTTAATCCTTTACATAACAAAGGAATTAATTTTAGCAAAATGATTCATTCCAACCTTCTTATAAGAAATATCTAGGAGAGTCAAGTAAGAAAAATAACGAATCTAAGTGATAAACATTCAAGAAATTCTCTAAATAAGAGATTTATTTATAATTTTAATATCTCAGGGTTCTTTTTAGGTTTCCAGGGGAAAAGAGCAGGATAACAGTGTGGAGACTGCTAAGTTGAGAATTTAAAACAAATGAGAACATAAGATTTTTAAAATTGCATTGTGAATGTAAAATTTTTATCAATCCTTTGCTCTCTTTTAGACATATTGAGAAAATGTTAAATAGAAAAAATTAAGAAATTTTAATAAGATGTTTCAGATCTTTGAGTATGAAAAACATAACAAAAAAAGCCTAATTTCAAAAAACTATTTGAGATCAAGGGACAATGGTGTGACCAATATGAAGGGTCAAGACTGAAATGTATTGTCTTTACTATCAAGAACTCTACTTTCAGTTGTTTCTCAGACAGTTAATTTCAGCTTCATAGAGATTTCTGAGCAAATTAAGAAACACTGTTTTCCTGGGTTTGTTTTGGGTATATGTCATTATAGTTATGTTATTTCTTGTTGAAATTTATAATTGTAGGTTTTTTGTATTGTTTTAGTATTTAATGGTGTATAATGTGTTATTACATTATATGTAGTTATACCAAAATATTGCCTGAAGATAAATCATGACAAGGTCCCCTGTTTATTCCTGTGTTACAGACGCATGGAATTGCTCCTGTAGATTTGAATTTTTGTTTCATTTTTTTCTGTCCCACCCTTCACTCTCTCTGTTTCAGAACATTTTTGGTAGAAGTGCTATCCAGAAGTGAACTTGTCAAAAGGCAAGTAGCATGAAAGAAGACAGAAGAAGCAAAAGGCTAATACAGTGGATAATTTCTGAGCACTTGAAGTTTCTTCAAATGTGCAAGACTGTGTGTCTTCCTATTAGATGTATAAATTGGATATTTCATGCCTAATTAAATGTTGCGTTGGATTGCAGTGCCTATCATACAGTGATTGGAGTAAATTGAGGCCTAATCCTGAACACATATAGAGCATATTGTTAGATATTTTTCCTGTGACATTTGAAGTTATTATTCTCCCATTTCCTTTTTCTTTTTTTGTTTATAATCATATGTCCCTAAGATTGTTTTCCTTTTTTGGACCAAAAAAAAGAAAAAAAAAATCTTAGCTTTTCATCCTCCCAGTGTATTCTGCATTGTCCTTACCCTAGATCAGCCCCTTCTGTGTTAACAGTTTTTCTCACAATGTAGCAACTTTTATCCACCCTTCAGGACCTTCACTGGGACTAGTTCATTCATTTTCAAATAGCTATTTCAACCTTTAACATCTACTGTCTTAGTCTTTTACACAGAAGCCAGAGTGACTGGTCTTGGCAAGACTCTGTTGTGTATCACCACTCTAACCTTACTGATTTGTTTCAGCAAATTTGCTTTAGTTAAATTGCTTTACTCAGATTCCCCCAAACTTTATATGTGTATTGTCATCTTTGTGCATATTATTTCTCATGCATGAAATACTCAATTTTTATTCTTTTATCTAACGCTTACTCTTACATTTCTTTAAAGCTCTGGCCAAGTATTTTATTTCGTCCCTAAACATTCTAACTATCCACCAAACTGGTAAGTTGGCTTTTCTTTTTCCTCCCCCTGTCATTCATTTAGCTGTTATATTTCATTTTAATGTTTTGGGTGGTGCCTCTTATACTATGTTGTATTCCTAGACAAGGAAATGTATATCAAAATATGTTAGATGATTGATTGTTTTATCTCCTTGATGATAGCACCTCTTATACTGCTTTACAGAATCAGGAAAAAGTAAACTGCATTTTACATAGTGGTTTTAAATATTGATTGATTGATATTCTAAACCTGGTTTCCTATATAAAGTTGTAAGTTCAAGATAAAGAGACCACATTCTTTACTCATGTGAGGTTCTGGAAATCCTTTATTTCTTTTTTAAAAACATTTTGATAACTTTTTTTTTAAATTTAAACCTTTTTAAGAGCAATTTCAGGCTCACAGCAAAATGAAGAAGAAAATAATCTTCACAGAGATTTCCCATAAACCTCCTGCTCCTGCACATGCCCAACCTCCCGTTTTCATTGTCTGCCACCAGAGTGGTGAACAATTGGTGAACCCACACTGAATCATCATAATCACCCAGAGTCCATAGTTCATGTCAGGGTTCACTCTTGTACATTCTGTGAGTTTGGGCAGATGTATAATAAACTTTGGCTCCACCCCAGTATGCAATCCTCTCAGTGCACAGGCCAGTTGGATTCTGGGGACCCCTTCCCACCTGGCTGTCTCATTCCCCTCTAAAGTACATCTAATTGCCGTTAGAAGAAGGATAAGGATAAGGACGAAGACCCATCTTAACTGCTTCCTGATGACAGGGAGCACTATTTTGGGAAAATGGCAGTCAGAGCTTCTTCATAGGCCTGTTTAAGGGTTCCCAGCAGAAGGGGCCATCATCGGAGGCTCCGGTTGCATGACCATTTGGAGTTTGATGGCCTAAAGGCAAGAACAGACAAACCGGGTTATTAAAAAATATATGTCAAAACGAAACAAAGGGAGAGGTAAGGACAGCTCAAAGATCCCAAGGCTTTTTACCAGTTAGCACAGCAATAGGGAGGTCAAAAGCCTGACTGGTAATAAACACTTTTACCCTTTTGCCAGCATGTTGGGCTTCTGGATTCCCTTCCCCTGAGCCCAATACTAAGCCAACCAGTTTAAGGTTTGGGAAATTAACTTTTCCTAGTGCGAAGGGTGCATCTGAGGGGAGTGTCCTGTAGCTTGGAGACACAATTACCTATCTGTGAAGAGAGGACAAAGGAGGGAGAAAGATAAAGGCTCTTTTCAAAAGAGTCCTAGGAGCTCAGGATGCATTTGAAAGGGGTACAAACTGAAGAAGAAAGGCCACCCATCTAGAAAGAGGGGAGCAGGCATCCCTGGTTCCCTTCTCTTTTTAGCAGATACCCGGGGTACGTGAGAGAAGGATGAGCATTCTCCTCTTTCGTCCTTGTATCCCTGAGTCCTGGCGACCTTGGCGGGTACCGCCATGGATGTTAAAGTGACTTTCACTCATGTTAACGGGGCCTAGGGGGTGGGAATTATCCACTCTTCCCACATATGTTCTGTTTCCCCTGCTGTCCATAGCCTTGAATTCCCTAGACCTCATTTATGCCATGAATACTAGCATGGCCTTTATCTATGAAATGGGAAGCGTGGCTTAATTGACAGGAATCAGCCACGTTCACCTGTGTTGTGCCTTTTCCGTTATCATCTGTCTCTGGATCCCTCAGATCCAGTTTTCCTTCCTAGGGCTTTGACCTGAAGCTTGGAATTGAGTTTGGGACAGAAATATGTCTCAGAGGGATTTGCACGGACTTATTACCATAAGACAAATGCTAAGGTGAAGCTGTGGAATTGAGTCCTCCAACAAGGGAGAGAAAAGGATGTCTTGTGATACATCCAGATAACTCGTGGCTATAGTTATGCTGCTAAGATTTGGGTGCATTGTGCTTGGCTTTGTTTAGCTCCCTTGGTCTTACTTTCCCATAAAGGAAACCTCCAAGTGATGGGCATACTATTTATTCCCATCACCTGGCAGGATTTGCAGGATAACTGCTCAGAACTAGAATATTGATCCAGATTTTTACATTACCCATCCCTGTGTTCTTTCTGAGCTGCAGCTGGAGATTGCTGGTTGGTTCACAGGAACAAGTAGGGTTAATCTAAAATGTAGGTGAAAACTTAAAAACAACTAATGAGTTTAGAATTTAATAACAAATGTATGATAAATTTTGAAACCTAATTTTTCTGTCACCAGTCATCATTTTTGTTTAAAAAACACAAACCATCATAGGACTAAGTGGTTTCCAAAATGGACTTTAGTCTTATACTTGGCCTGATTATTTGCATAAGGTGCAGCAAGAATAGTTATTTGTACATAGTCCTTTTGGATTGGCTTTGATGGAACACTGGTCCACAAGGAATCTCAGGTGAGACTTTTTAAGCTGAGCCCAGCCATGGGTTTGTATCCTCAAATACCTGTAAGTTGGGTGATTCTCTCCTTTTAAGGTCCCAAGATAAACTTGGAGCTCCTAGGCCTGTTACAAAGTGACATTCTTTACTGACCACAGGCCAGGAACCCTGTACAGGGACTGTGTAGGCAAGGGTATGAGGCCAGTTCTTCCTACAGGGCTTTTAGCAGCTCTGCAAGTCAAGATTGACTTCTTAAAGGGAAGCATACCCTTCCAGTCAAAGCCTTGGTAAAATAACCAGTTTCTCCAATTGCATACTGTTGAAAAAAAAATGGATCCTTATTGCACTGATGCAAATAACTGTATTGCCATAAGTTAAGAATACTCACACATAGTTTCCAAATTCTAGAGGAACCAGGCAGAGAGAAACAAACATACTCCAAATTTTGTTCACAGGAGTGTAACTTAATTAAAGGCCGTAAATAGTGCAAAATAAGTTTCCTTGACTTTGAAAAACAAAACATGGATCAGCAGTGTTCCAAGCAAAAGTCAAAAAGATTTGCTTTAGTTTCCTGAGTTCAGTCCATTTAGTGAACTCGTTTTGCCTGATATTCATGAACACTTCAGCTCTTTTGAGTCTTGTACATTTTTCCTTTATTCCAATGTCACAATCTCCAAACTTATCAGAAACCTGTATTTGAGAGCACCTGTCACAGTCCTATGGCTTATAATAAACCATCTTTTGAAAAGGATTAAAACAAGATAATAATTGTCAATAGCAAAATGTCCAGGATGGTTAGAAACACAATTGACAAAGAAGTTTGGTTATCTCTGTGGTTTACAACCTTAATTATGATTGATAGCATATACTTAGACATTAGAATTTTAGAAGTCCCATATAATTTTGGAACATATATTATTCACCAAAATATAACCTAAAGAAGATTGAACATCATCTTGGCAATCCCATGTGACTAAGTATGTCAAATAACCATGTTTACTTGTTTTCTGCATGTTTCAGGGGCCCTCTGATCCATCCAAAAAGCCCGGCATCAGGAAAGACAATTTCAAAACTGAAGTTTGATTTTGGGAAGCCTATTAAATATGTTAGAAGTTCAAACCACTTGATATTATGAAATAGAATTTCATATTACCATAAGTTATTTATTTTGTCAAAATGATGACTCCAAAATTTTAAAGAAGCAAAAACCTTTTTATAACCCTTTACAAATTTTGCTAAAGATGTGCTTTTATTTTAATGCTCAATTTACAGAAAAAATATATAATACCTTTTTTGAATTTAGTCAATATGTTGAAACAGAGAACCTCTTCTGCAAGATTAATTCTTATAATCCTTTCACCACTTGTTTGACCCTTCAGCTTTATCTTATCTAATTTAAAACAATCCTTTATCCCTAGGCAAAAACTTACATTTCCATGCCTTCTTATAACCTTTTACTAAAAAACACATTTTACTGTTCTTACACACCTTGCATGTAAATATATTTCCAGTAGTTTCAGTTACATGTTATAATGGTAACTCCTAGCAATTTTAACTTTAATGTAAAACCTGGTAAGTTGTTTTAATTGTGTGCCAGGTACAACCAAGATTTGACTCCTTCCAGCATAATAGAAGGCGTGGTTAGTTCCATATGTCCCCAGGCCTTAACAGTTGTGGATCAGGCAAGTCAGATAGTTCTCAACACCCCAAAAGCAGCTTATAACCTCAAAACACTTCGCAAACTTTACATCTAACTTGCATAATTTAGTCTACTATTTACATTTTGATGGCATCTGCTTTTAACCAATAATCTTTAAGGCTATTTTATTTTTTTCTCAAAGATTAAAGTCACGTGAACTGAGAGGTACCACAGCTTTTATCTTCCCTTTAAAAAATATTTGATCTAAGCGCTGTGTTTCTTTAGGTCAAATTAATTAGAGCTCTTTTTACAGACATCATACACACAACACATACAGCTACGCAGACAGGTAGGAGAAAACTCAATCCCCTGGTGGAGCCCTGTAAGAGAGCAGGCTAGGAAAACATACAGATATCAAACCAGAAAGGACTTATTCCCTAAGGCAGGATTGCTAAACAAAGCCTTGCCGCACCCCCAGGATGTAGAACAAGATGGAGGCCTGCAGCGAAGTTTGCTACGAACCATGCAGACATGCAAAGCACACCAGATTGGCTACAGCTGAAGATCAGCCTCACAAATCCTTTTTCACAAAACTTTACAGAGGATATAAACAGTGATCCTTATCATTCCTAGCCTAGTAAAACATCTTCTGAAGGAAAAACCTCACTTAAAAGTTAACTGCTGGTGGGTTGGAGAAGGGGAAGAAAAGAAACAGTTTAAAAATGCCTGAGGAAGAGCATCTTATTCTTATACAACTGGTTGCTCCACCAGGGAGAAAAACTTAATTACTATCTGTTGGAGTTGAACCCCTTGGCAGGGGAAGGGGAAGATCTCGTGGCATTCCCCAGCCCCAGCCAGTTAGAGACAGGACCAGCTGGATTTCCTAGGCTGATTAAGAATCCCTAAGCCTAGCTGGGAAGGTGACCACAACCACCTTTAAACAAGGGGCTTGCAACTTAGTTCACACCTGACCAATCAGGTAATAAGGAGAGCTCACTAAAATTCTAATTAGGCAAAAACAGGAGGTAAAGAGTAGCCAAGAATCTATTGCCTGAGAGCACAGCAGGAGGGACAATGATAGGGATATAAACCCAGGCATTGGAGCAGGCAGCGGCTACCCTCTTTGGGTCCCCTCCCTTTGTATGGGAGCTCTGTTTTCACTCTATTAAATCTTGCAGCTGCACTCTCTTCTGGTCTATGTTTGTTACGGCTCAAGCTGAGCTTTTGCTCGCCGTCCACCACTGCTGTTTGCCGCCGTCGCAGACCCGCCGCTGACTTCCATCCTCTGGATCCAGCAGGGTGTCTGCTGTGCTCCTGATCCAGTGAGGCGCCCATTGCCACTCCGGATCGGGCTAAAGGCTTGCCATTGTTCCTGCATGGCTAAGTGTCCAGGTTTGTGCTATTCGAGCTGAACACTAGTCACTGGGTTCCACGGTTCTCTTCCGTGACCCACGGCTTCCAATAGAGCTATAACACTCACTGCATGGCCCAAGATTCCATTCCTTGGAATCTGTGAGGCCGAGAACCCCAAGTCAGAGAACACGAGGCTTGCCAGCATCTTGAGAGCCGCCCGCCGCCATTTTGGAAGCGCCCACCACCATCTTGGGAGCTCTGGGAGCAAGGACCCCCAGCTAACACCAGGAGGGAAGGAGGAGTGAGAAGCCCCTGCTTGCCTGTCTATCCCAAAAAAGAAAGGAAAAGGCCATGGAAATGCCCCGACCCCTGGGAGTGACAGAGGTAGGAGCACAGTTTCCCCTACCCTTAGAAGTCCAAGGATGAAAAAGGTTAGAAAGGACAGTGAGAGGTTTTGAGTCCCCATTTCATTCACTTCTAAACATTGGGCACCAAAGCTGTTGTAGGACTTACTCCTTAGTGCAGCTAAGAGCTGGGTCCTTGTGACATAGCCCTGAAATATTAGGCTTGTAGACCCTTTGAGGGGTGAGAATAATGGAATTTATCGGGCAAAAAGGAAAAAAGGGAAACAAGGACTCTGAAAAACCAGAGTCCCTGCTAGTGTGCTTCCTGCCTCCCAGATCGAATTCCAGGTTTCACCCAGGAAGAGGAAGGGCCAGGCTTTTCCTTGCTGCAAATGGCATGAACTTCTGTGGCTCCACCCCAGTGCACACTCATCCCAGTGCACAGGCCTGTTGGAATTTCTCTGGGAACCCATTTCCACCTGGCAGTCTCAATACAGACTATTTTCACTGCCCTGAAAATCCTCTGTGCTCCGCCTGTTGGTCCCAACTCCAACTGCCTGAAAATCCACTTTAAAATGAGGTAAATTAAACCTATTTTGGAGGAGCTATTTCTTTTTTTGATGTTGCTGCTCCTGTTCATTAAATAGGAGCAACAGTTGTGTATTTTGGATGACGTTGCTGTAGCCTTCTGACCTCTTGAGCCCTCAAAACAGATTTTTTAGTTTTTAAATGTTTTCCATTTCATCAGTTATATGTTCAGTTTTACAGATTTAGGACTAAATCTAGGAAAATTCAGTCCATTATAAAGAGTCAAGTCCATTTATGTTGCTACAGCAAAATGCTTGAGACTGGGTAATTTATAGAAAACATAAATATATTTCTGACAGTTCTGGAGGCAGGGAAGTCCAAGCTGCTGGCAGATGTTTGGCTGTCTGGTGATGGCTGCTCTCTGCTTCTAAAATGGCGTCTTAATGCTGCATTCTTTGGAGGGGGGGAACTTTGTGTCATTACATGATGGAAGGGACAGAAAGCAAAAGGGATCCACCAGCTTCCTTCACCAAGCTCTTTTAGAATGACATTGATTCTGCTCATGACTTAAATACCTCCCAAAAGTCTCTGTCTTCCAATACTGTTGCATTGGGAATTAAGTTTCCAACACATGAATTTAGGGAACACATGCAGACCACATGTGGTTTTGCATTGTGTTGCTTTTTCAAGCCTGGCTCAATGGTCACTATCAGTTTGGGTCTAATCTAGAAGCAAACCAAATAGTGATTTTAAACAAGGGAAGTTTAATAAAAAAGTTTTAAACTAGTTGAGGGAGAGTACCCAAGAAAGGGCAGACTTGGAAGAGGGAGCCCAAAGTCTGGATTCAGACCTTGTTGAAAAAAGGGTAACTGTGGCTCGCTGGATTGCAGTGAAAGTTATGGTTTGCTCAGACCAGTGCTGGCTGGTGTTTAGTTACCAGGCAAGCAGGAAGCCACAATGGTGACTCAGTGTGTGAGAATGCAGAAAGAGTTGGGGGAGGGGCACTAGTGCTGGCAGGACATCTGGAGTGTGAGGTGTCTCTTTTGGGAGGGTCGTAGAAGGTGATCACCAGCCCGGATGAGGTCTATAAAGTCACTAAGAATAATACATTACCAGAGCGTGGCTAGGGCAGAGCTGCCCCAGATGTCTTCACACCCACGCTTCTTATTGATGGTGTAGCTGCCAGAAAGCAGCAGGAGAGACCCTCTGGGGTGAATTGGGAGCTGAGAGACCGTACATTGATAACTAGTGCAGAAGCTGATCAGGTTGTAGGAAGGTTTTGATGAGAGAGCTCATCACAATGTAAATATAAAATATCTCACTCATCCTCCTTTGCCCTCCTTGTTTTGCAACATATTGCATAGCCTGTCCAAGAAATGTGGGCATATGGGTAAGGTAGTGAAAATACCAGGTCATTTAGAAAACTGAGGAACCGTGAAAACTCTTGAGCCAATATTTTCAAAATCTAATGAATGTGATAACTTCATAAAATAGTTCATGAACTAGAAATTGGGACTACTGTTTATATTCTGGAGTTACATGAATGGCACCCTCAATATAGCAGGAGCATAGAGCATTCCTTTCATTACTTTTCATCAAGATGGTCATATAGTTTTATATGAGCAATTCTGGAAGTGGAAAATTCTCTGCAGTCGGAATGCTTTGTTTCTTAGCATATACTTGCTTCAGTTAAGTCATGATTTACATTTCTGTCTTCACATTTTACTCTTAATTTTGCCTCTTAAGACAATTTCATATACATATTTCAATCTTCCTAATTTCTGTTGAAATCAACAGAAGTAATGTTCCATCCTTTAGGCTCAATGTTTCTAAATTATTTCTTTGGTAAAAGTTTTATTTCTTCTTTACCGTTTCACCTTTCTAGATGCTTTCTAGCTTTCAATTTTTTTTTTTTAATGTGGCACCAGATGTCCAGAATTCATAGAGTAGAATGTGGGGACTCTGTTTAATAGTTTATTATAGTACTTTATTCAACTAGTATTTATTTGGCTCCTGGCACTGTTCTAGGGCTGTGTGTGTCGGGGGGTGTGGGGGGTGGTGATCACAAATAAGGCGTCGCTCTATCATGAGGAACTCAGTGGAGGAAATATGTAAGTGGAGAAATGTATACTATAACCAGGTAAGTGTTGCTTCAGAGAAATGAAGATAGAACAACTGATAAAGAAGCACAGAAGATGGATCAGCTAAGTGGCCTGGGGAAAACCAGGAAAGATTTCACTCAGGAGAGGATACTTGAGTTGATATAGAAAAACAAACAGAAGTTTGCCATCAAGGAAATTGAGTAGAAGGGTGTGTGTTTTTGTTGTTGTTGTTGTTGTTTTTTGAGACAGAGTTTCACTCTTGTTACCCAGGCTGGAGTGCAATGGCGTGATCTTGGCTCACTGCAGCCTCTGCCTCCCGGGTTCAAGCGATTCTCATGCCTCATCCTCCTGAGTAGCTGGGATTACAGGCGCCTGCTGCCACGCCCAGCTAATTTTTGTATTTTTAGTAGAGACAGGTTCTCGCCATGTTGGCCAGGCTGGTCTTGAACTCCTGATCTCGGGTGATCCACCCGCCTCGGCCTCCCAAAGTGTTGGGATTTCAGGCATCAGCCACTGGGCCCAGCCTGAAGGGTGTTTTTTCTAGCCAGGAGATAATATGTGTGCAAAGATTGAGTGGTGAAAAGCCTGCTACAGAATTTGTTGAATCAGAATAGTGTGTGCTGTAAAAGAAGTCTGGGCTTCAGAATCAGCAGATTTATGATTCCACTATTTTATTAGCTCTTTACTGTGGACAAGTGTCCTGACCTTGCCTGAGCCTTTTTTGTTTTCCCTCTCTTTTTTGATATCTACTTTGCAGTTTTGTTTTGAGGATTAAATGAGAAAACGTATGCCTGGCACATATGAGCTCAGAAAATACAAATTGCCAAAGGGCTAATACATTTAGTTGAGGGAGACACTAGGAATAAGACATAAAGCTGCTTTTGCCTCTAAGGCAATAAAATGCCCTCTCCATTCTATTCTCCACACTACAGCAAGAACAATCTTTTGCAAACATGTCATGTGATGTTTATCTCTTCTTAAAATTTCCCCTGCCTTCCTTTCAGAGTAAAACGGAAATTCCTACCGTAGTCTAGAAAGTTCTATGGTATGCCAATATCTCTCAGTCCCCTCACCTTACAAAACCAGTGCATTTTCTACCACTCCATTTGCTATATAATTCAGCCATATTGGTCTTGCTCTTCTCAATTACTATGAACATGAGTGTCTGCTTTCAGAGCTTTGCACTGTTTCCTCCACCTGGATAGTCTTTCCTCAAATATTCCGTGATTCACTTCCTTACTTCAGGTGTATGCTCAAACGTCATTTACCAGAGGCCAACCCTGGCCACCACCATTGCTTACGCCATTACTCTTTGCCCCTTTCCTCCTTTGTTTTTCTTTAATTAATATTGAGGTTGGGGCCTTTGTTTGATTCACTGCTGTATCCCTAACAATTAGAAGAGCACTTAGCAGTTATGTAAAATGCTCCAAAAATACTTGTTCTCTGAATGAATGAGGCTGAGAAAGTGGCTTGGGGGCCCATCTGAGGTACTTGATATACTCAGCCAAGAATTTTAGATTTATTCTGTGGGCAGAAGGAAGGGGATTAGCATTTTTGATGCAGCCTAAAATGAATATTAATTTTTTGTTAGTCCCTATATTGATTTGTGCTTGCAGTAAGTGGAACTTTTTTTCAGATACTAAAGCCATTTTTTTTTTTCTTCTTTTTAGTAGCCAGTCCTTAAAACCTGATGCCACGGCAACAATATACTATGTTAATTTCATTAGATAGTAATGAAAGGTAGAATGAAGGCTTATTGTTTTTGTTCAGAGATAGAGCTACTCTTCGTGAGGTTTTTGTGATGTTTTAGTGTAAAACAAGTTCCCAGAATATAGTATTTTAATAATGTTAAGAGGGCTATTAATTTATTTTAGGTTGCAGTAGTAGATATTTAATTAATTGAACAATTTTTTGGGTGTGGGAGACACAAGTAAAAGAAAACAGAAATGAACACAAAGAAGTTTCTTTTGGCAGGTGGTCCAGAAGCACTGGTGACAGTGAGGAATAATATTGTTCATGACCTGGCTCATGATGGTGCCTCTAACAATTAAAAAGTCAATGCCTCTTTAAATCACAAGTATTCAATAATTTTTTAAAGAGAAACCTGGGGAAACATAAAATTTTATTCAGAAACAGATTTGCTCATTCCAAGCCAAAGCAGAATAGTTAGATATTCTATTACAAATGAGCAAAGCAACATCAATCATACCTTAATAAAATGGTTTTAAAAAAGATGGGGGAGGAAAAAATGAGCAAAGAGTAGCAGATATTTAAAAAATATAGTTCTTGTTCTCTTTCTCTCTTTCTCTGTCTCTGTCTCTCTGTGTGTGCACGTACATAGTTTTATGAGGCAGATTTCTTAGGAGGGTTTAAAATTTAATTGTAATCTTTTTCTTCTCTTATTAGCTGGAGTACGTTAGGCAAATTAAACCTCTGATCTTCAATTTCTTAAGGGGAGCTATGGTATCTATCTCATACGGTTGTGAAGATTAAGTGAGGTAATGCTTGTAAAGTGCTTACTTAGCACAGTTCCCGGAATATAATAAGTGATTTGTGTTAGTTGTTGCTGGTAAAAAGAATTATGCCAGTTCATGGTGTCAGAATTTCAGCCAGTAATGACTGCCTGTAGAAACAGAAGCGTTATTAATAGTAAGAGCTGTTATGCTTTTTTATTCCACTAGAGGGCACCTTTCTCCTTCTGGAAACCTGATGTAGACATAAAGCATTATGACTCTGGCCCCAACTCACTTCACTTCCCTTTAGCATCCTCAGCCCCAGGATTCCTGTTAGACCACTAATAACTTCACATTATGCCAGGTCTCTCCCTGGTCATCCTCCCAACACTCACATAATGGAAGGATGTTTTAGCCTTGGCATATGCTTTTTGCTAGTCTAAAGGGCGGTCCTTAAGAATGTAAAAAATGTAATAATAATTGGCTTTGGGTGTTCAGCAAGACATAAACTTGATATAGTGAGCTAGGAACAGGGATTCAAAGGAAATATCCTTATTACTTCTTACCCTGAGGCGTCCTTCTCATATGCATGATTAAATCAAGTCTACCTAGTGGACTAAACCTGTGGTGGTAGCCTCCCCAACATCTCTCCTATTTTAAGTCAGGGAAAAAAAAAAACAGAAAATGTGGGATGCGGAAAGAGGCAGGCGGGGAGCGGGGGGTGGGGGGGAAGGATAAGATACAAACTTTGAGAACATCGCTATTTATAAATGACAAATCTTGAACTGTACCTGGGAGATGAAGTCCCTGCTCTAGTTTCTGGAAAGCCGCATTCTCTATGACCCGTGATCTTAGGTTTAAATGAAAAAGTGCAAACATGGCACCAACTGTGTACTGGAGTTCCCTGGCTATTGGAAGTTCTCACTTGTTAAGAATGAGCCAAATCCTTCCACAGGCCTCCTTATCTGGGAGACGCAAGTAAATCAAGGATCTGGTTCAATAGTTTGAACAGCATCTTCTCAGGACCACACATCTCACCTTGCATAAAAAGAGGGCAAGTTAGGAATGATTTTGATGTTGACAGATTTGTAATAAAGGTCAAAACTGAGACATGACTAGAGGTTTTCCAAAAGGTAATTAAAAATGGTCAATCAGTGGTTCTTCTGGAACTAGATTATTAGCAATCTAGTAGAAATAATCATCCTTTTAATAAAGCAGGATCTACCCTGCCTGGAAGAGGAGGCTGTCAGTGCTGATTAACTCATTCTGATCATGCACCTTTCTAGATCATCGTAGGTCCTGAACCAGGAAGTGGGGAGAAGTAAGATCAAATCAGGGGTAGGTAAACTACAGTCTGACTCTAGCCTACTACCAGTTTTTGTATGGCCTGCCAGCTAAGAATGTTTTCTACATTTTGAAATAGTTGGATAAAAATTAAAAGATGTGTCATATTTTATGACAAAAGAAATTTAAACTTTAGTGTTCATAAACTTTTATTGGAACATAATCACAGTTAATCATTTATGTATTTTCTTTTCTTTTAGACAAGGTCTTGCTCTGTGCCCAGGCTGGAGTGTGATGGTACAATCACAGCTCACTGCAGCCTTGAACTCCAGGCTCACAGGATCCTCCCATATTAACCTCCTGAGTAGAGGGGACAACAGGCACATGCCACCATGCCTGGCTAATTTTTTATTTTTTGTAAAGATGGGATTTTTTCCATGTTGCCAGGATGATGTTGAATTCCTGGGCTCAAGCTATCATCCCTCCTTGGCTCCCAGTGTTGGGATTACAGGTGTGAGTGCCTGCCCAATTTCTCTCTTTCCTTTCTTTCCTTTCTTTTTCCTTCCTTCCTTCCTTTCCTTCCTTTCTTTGCTTCTTTTCTTCTTCCTTCCTCCCTCCCTTCCTCCCTCCCTCCCTCCCTCCCTTCCTCCCTCCCTTCCTACCTTCCTCCCTTCTTCCCTCTCTCCCTCCCTCCCTTTCACCCCTCCCTCCCTTCCTTCCTTTCTTTGTTTCTGACACAGTTTCGCTCTGTCACCCAGGCTGGAGTGCAGTGGCGCGATCTCTGCTCACTGCAACCTCTGCCTCCCAGGTTCAAGCGGTTTTCTTGCCTCAGCCTCCCGAATAGTTCAGATTACAGGTGCACACCACCACACCTGGCTAATTTGTGTATTTTTAGTAGAGACGGGGTTTTGCCATGTTGGCCAGGCTGGTCTTGAACTCCTGACCTCACCTGCCTCGGCCTCCCAAAGTGCTGGGATTACAGGCCACCTTTTGCACTACATTGGCAATACTGACTAGTTGCAACAGAGGCCATATATGGTATTTTCATCACTGCACTGCTGTTCCATGCACTACGAATTAAAGTGATGTGGTTATTACTTGTCAGCGTTTTGAGTTCTGCACATATAACTGTACCGTAGTGTTTCCAGAACCAAGCCGGCTCTGGCTGCATTTTCTCGAGGTCCAATAATGAGAAGCAGACAAACTAGGACAGAAGGGAATTGATTGTTGTAACTGGATACAGGGAGAAGGTCAGAGATAATTCCATCAGACCAACTCAAAGTGTTATAATTTTCTTGGTGCTTATATAGGTTGGGGTTATGTGCCTACGTGCAGTATAGCATTCGCCTAAGCCTATTGGTAACTAATTTTGTTTCAACTAGAAGGTCAGAGGCAAAAAATGCTTGCTAAGTCTGATTAAAAGGGCCCCAGTACCACCAGTACCTTCAGGCCTGTCTACTGTGGAACCGGAGTGATTATTTCTATCTTATCTCCTTTATAGCTTGGTCTGGAGAGCTGCCTTGCGCTCTCCAGTGAATCTATTCAAACAGCTGCCTCTGTTACCTTGACTCTCAGACAGATCCCGGCACTAAGAATTTAAGATTGTCTCTATTATTTTGACTTGCTCCAGGTTAGGGAGAAGCCCATGCAAGGCTCCTACTGACAATATGTTTCATTTCTAGCTTTGATGTCTGGGCACTGGTTTCCCTAGATTTAACTATTTGCTCAATGTTAAGGCAGTGCTGTGGAAATTTGTCTGTGTAACTGAAGTACTGTGTAGACCTGTCTGTGTGATTGTCGGGGGAATTGGCCTGCCACAATAGGATTTTATTTATTTGTTACTGCCAGTGCATACCCATCATGTCAAACAAGATGGGGAAAATGAACTTCAAATATCATACTTTTAGGCATGGTGGAGTGTAGTTTATTTTGTTATTAAATTAGGTGGCAAATCATTGTGTTTGTTATGCACTGACATTACAGCTGTGCTAAAAGAATACAAATATACATTACCATGACTAGGCTGAAGATCTATCACAGTATTTCCAACTCACAGGAAAGCAACAGTGAGATAAACTAGAACATTTAATAGCATCACTGTAGAATTTCTTTACAAAAATAATAAATGGAAATGAGGCCACTAAGTTTTGAGTGGCTCATTTGTGGGTCAAGTAAGGAAATCTGTTTATCAATGTTAGGTTATTTAAACTGAGTTCGACTGCAGCAACTGAAGGAATGTGTGCAGAGAAAATACACGTGTTTAAGACTATTAGCCCTTTGGGGAGAATAGTTGTTCAAAGAGTTGAAGACATTGAAAGCGACATCAATAGTCAAATAAAAAGCAGAGAAAAATTCATTTCAATGGTTTTGCTTGTCTCTTGATGAGTCAGTGATGTTACTGATACTGCTCAGTTGTTTTTTATTTAAGGAGTCAATCCCAAGTTTGAAGTGTCTAAAGAATTAATCTCTATTAATAGCCTGCAAGTTACAAGCACAGGAGGAGTATTTTTAAAGAAGTTGAGAAAAACTATCCAGTAAACTTGAAATGGAATTTGCTAAGATTTATTACAACTCATTGTGGTAAAAATATGTGTGAAGCAGAAAAAAATCTTAGTTGGACAAATTTACAAATCTTATCAAAATGTAGGATGTTGAAGCCCTATTCATGGCATTATTAGCCAGGCATGAATAATGCCTATTCATGGCATTATTCATTAGCAAGTTCTTTGCGGAAAGTATTTGGGTCTACCATATGTTACTGAACCAATAGTATCAACAGTGAACTTCATTTGCTCTTGTGGATTTAACCATCATCAGTTCTGCATTTTTTGGGGGTCAGAAATAGAAGTTTGATCTTCTCTCTTGCCCTACTACACAGCAGTTTGATAATTTAGTAGTTGTTAAGTTTTATGTGATACTTTTGAGTTTAGGGGAAAACTAAAATTTTTCAGAATGAGAAAAATTAGCTTCAACTATTAAGGAACACTATATGGCTTTGAAATTAACACGAGGTAGACTTCATAATGTTTCTTAATGAATTCAACTTAAAATTACAAGGTAAAACATCACATACATGCAAATATTATACTGTGGTAAAGTTATTTTGATGACAGTTAACATTTGAATCACAAGTAATGTCATCAGTTCTCATGTTTCCAAATGGTAAAACAAGAAGTGAAATCTCCACTCCTACACAGACTTGCAGTGGATGTAATTTCCAAGATCAAATTATAGTTTCAGGAGCACTTTTGGACTTCAATTCAAATGCAAAGGGACTTCCTATATTTAAACATTCATTTAATTGTGCAATTGAGGAACTTTCACCTTACCTTCAATTGGAGGTTATTAATGTAATGACATACTGAAAAGCAAATATCAAAGGTAGAATCTAATAGAATTTCATAAATGCTTTCTAATCATGAATATGTTCAACTAAAATAATATGTTTATAGATTGACATTAGTATTGGGCAGTACCTATCTGTACAAAAACATTTTCAAAGATGAAATTTGCAACTGTTCATCATTAACAGATGAACATTTATGACAAGGAGCACTACTTTGAACCCCAATTAAGCAAAATGTTATCTCCTAAAGAAGAGAAAGAAGAGTTCAGTTTTTCTCATTAGTAGACTTGTATTACAAAAAATTATACTCAATTATTATTATATTTTAAATTTTATCTATAAATTTGTTTTGAAATTAATTTTCTCTCTTGGCATGTAAGTACCTACATAATATCTTTGATTTTAGTTCTTGGACTACAAAGCCTAAACCCCTGCTCTGGCAGAGTGTTCTTAGAATATAGGGTTGAAGTAACCTTTTAAGTCATGGCAGAAATGCATATGAATACTTACATTCTTGTGGGGACTCAATTGCAGCCTAAGGCCTGAAGTTTTCTATATATTTTAAATTCTTATTGATAGGTCTTTTGTCCCAGAGATCTCTGAAAATGGAAAGCAACACCAACCACTGTGCATTTTGATGATGAATTAAATACATAAAATTAAAAAAAGCCAACTTTTCCAAACATTTAAACAACAATTGCAAGTTGATTAATTCCCTGAAGCAATTTAGATTATACTCAAACTAGTATATCTGATTCTTTTAACAGGAGATAAACTATACACAAATACAATCATTTCAAAACTATTTCTAAAGTTATGCTTAAACCTAAAACATCAGCACCATGATTTTGATTCATACTCATGTATTAGATCTTATATTTTCCAAGTGTTATACTTTGATAGCTTCGTAGGGTTTTATTATTTTGATTTTTTCTCCAGGGATTTTGTAATTTCATGTGATGTTATAGGAACTGAATATCAAGTTAATTATTGGTTGAGATATTGGACCTGCTTATAGGAACATTAGATGGAGTTGCTTTTCTTTTGACATTGAAGTTTTATGTATTGTATCATGAGACTCTTAAGTACTTATTGTTCTTAACTTTTGAATGGTGTTTATCACAAAAATAATTTAGTCTTTAGATTTCCCATAGCCAGCAATACCCGAGCCATTGTCCTGTTATTATATTTTAATGCCTGGGTATGTTGGCCTTATGACTCTGCTGATTTTTCCTGCCCTAGATGTAGACACAACCTCCTTCCAAGGAAACAAGAGTTCTTGCTCCTCATGGTAAAGAATAGTATAAGGTACCATAGTCTGAATACTAGCAAAACATATGAGAGTGAACGTAGGGCAAAAGTACAGCTACTGCAGCTGTTGTTGGACTGTTTTTGGTAGTAATGGAGCTGGAAAATGACATGAATTCACACTGATATTTCTTATTTAGCATCTGGTACTGCTATACCATTTCTATGTGTTTTAAAACCATACTGTACATGGTTTAATTGACCACTTACATTTTCTCCTATGTTAACAACACTTTTAGAAAGGTAAGAGAAGGAGAGAATGATGATGGCTGGATACATTGGTCACTTCTTGTTAGTGGTTTAGGGTAAGAAATGTGGTTGTACTGAATTATAAGTATCACATAAGAGTCAATCATTTATTCATTTAAGTCTACTAAGTGCCAGGTTTTATGCTAAGCCTTAATGATGGTGTTTCTGCTCTATGCAATCTGTAATCTGGCAGTGGAGGCATTCATGTAACCAATAATTCTACAATTATTAACTGGAAGGAACACTTTGAATGAAACATTCAGGGTGTGTTGAGAATGTATTATAGGAGCACTTAACCTAGTTCTGAGGATATTAGAGAGTTTTGATAGATGTGTGCAAGGAAAGGAAATGGCATTTAGCACGTTGGTGGTAAAAACAGTGAACCATGCTCAGAAGGAACTTGCTGTATTTGGAGGCATTAAGTGGCCCACCCAGAAATGAAATTGCAACCATTGAAGGTTTGTTATTTTTTAAGAAATAATTTCTTTTGCTTCTAAAGCTTTGTGAATTTACAAAAGAAGTCCATGTTTACAGACAGTGTTCATTCATACTAAGAATGCAAAAGAAGGGAGCATCTGTGCCACCACGAATGGTAGCCATAACGTCAGTGTTTGTCAGCAAATATACACGGACCATTATTCAAAACAAGTTCCTCTAAACTTGAATGATTGCCTCAGAGATCCTGCAGTCATTACCCACGATCTCACATTATGTACTTGGGTCATTGGTATGACCATTGGGCACTGGAATGATACAGAGGTTTCTCTGCAGTGTGTTTATTTTTTCCCCAGGGTAGCTTCTATGAAAAGGAAAATTTCAGCTTACTTTTTGAGGGTAGAGATCGTGGTTTATGTTTTCTGGCATTCTCAGCTCCTCAGCACGCTATCTGTACAGAACAAGCACTTGATGCATGTCAACCGATCCGTTAGTGTGCTGTAATGGCTTTGAAAAAGGGTGCCCTTTAATTGATTGCTTCATTCTTAGGACCATACTTGGTGTTTCTTTGGTTTTCCCATTCTTTTTTTTTTATTTTATTATTATTATACTTTAAGTTTTAGGGTACATGTGCATAACGTGCAGGTTTGTTACATATGTATACATGTGCCATGCTGGTGTGCTGCACCCATTAACTCGTCATTTAGCATTAGGTATATCTCCTAATGCTATCCCTCCCCCTTCCCCCCACCCCACAACAGTCCCCGGTGTGTGATGTTCCCCTTCCTGTGTCCATGTGTTCTCATTGTTCAATTCCCACCTATGAGTGAGAACATGTGGAGTTTGGTTTTTTGTCCTTGCGATAGTTTGCTGAGAATGATGGTTTCCAGTTTCATCCATGTCCCTACAAAGGACATGAACTCATCATTTTTTATGGCTGCATAGTATTCCATGGTGTATATGTGCCACATTTTCTTAATGCAGTCTATCATTGTTGGACATTTGGGTTGGTTCCAAGTCTTTGCTCTTGTGAGTAGTGCTGCAATAAACATAGGCGTGCATGTGACTTTATAGCAGCATGATTTATATTCCTTTGGGTATATACCCAGTAATGGGATGGCTGGGTCAAATGGTATTTCTAGTTCTAGATCCCTGAGGAATCGCCACACTGACTTCCACAATGGTTGAACTAGTTTACAGTCCCACCAACAGTGTAAAAGTGTTCCTATTTCTCCACATCCTCTCCAGCACCTGTTGTTTCCTGACTTTTTAATGATTGCCATTCTAACTGGTGTGAGACGGTATCTCATTGTGGTTTTGATTTGCATTTCTCTGATGGCCAGTGATGATGAGCATTTTTTCATGTGTCTTTTGGCTGCATAAATGTCTTCTTTTGAGAAGTGTCTGTTCATATCCTTTGCCCACTTTTTGATGGGGTTGTTTGTTTTTTTCTTGTTAATTTGTTTGAGTTCATTGTAGATTCTGGATATTAGCCCTTTGTCAGATGAATAGGTTGCAAAAATTTTCTCCCATTCTGTAGGTTGCCTGTTCATTCTGATGGTAGTTTCTTTTGCTGTGCAGAAGCTCTTTAGTTTAATTAGATCCCATTTGTCAATTTTGGCTTTTGTTGCCATTGCTTTTGGTGTTTTAGACATGAAGTCCTTGCCCATGCCTGTGTCCTGAATGGTATTGCCTAGGTGTTGTTCTAGGGATTTTATGCTTTTAGGTCTAACATTTAAGTCTTTAATCCATCTTGAACTAATTTTCGTATAAGGTGTAAGGAAGGGATCCAGCTTCAGCTTTCTACATATGGCTAGCCAGTTTTCCCAGCACCATTTATTAAATAGGGAATCCTTTCACCATTGCTTGTTTTTGTGAGGTTTGTCAAACATCAGATAGTTGTAGATATGCGGCATTATTTCTGAGGGCTCTGTTCTGTTCCATTGGTCTATATCTCTGTTTTGGTACCAGTACCATGCTGTTTTGGTTACTGTAGCCTTGTAGTATAGTTTGAAGTCAGGTAGCGTGTTGCCTCCAGCTTCGTTCTTTTGGCTTAGGATTGACTTGGCGATGTGGGCTCTTTTTTGGTTCCATATGAACTTTAAAGTAGTTTTTTCCAATTCTGTGAAGAAAGTCATTGCTAGCTTGATGGGGATGGCATTGAATCTATAAATTACCTTGGGCAGTATGGCCATTTTCATGATATTGATTCTTCCTACCTATGAGCATGGAATGCTCTTCCATTTCTTTGTATCCTCTTTTATTTCACTGAGCAGTGGTTTGTAGTTCTCCTTGAAGAGGTCCTTCACATCCCTTGTAAGTTGGATTCCTAGGTATTTTATTCTCTTTGAAGCAATTGTGAATGGGAGTTCACTCATGATTTGGCTCTCTGTTTGTCTATTATTGGTGTATAAGAATGCTTGTGATTTTTGCACATTGATTTTGTATCCTGAGACTTTGCTGAAGTTGCTTATCAGCTTAAGGAGATTTTGGGCTGAGACAATGGGGTTTTCTAGATATACAATCATGTCATCTGCAAACAGGGACAATTTGACTTCCTCTTTTCCTAATTGAATACTCTTTATTTCCTTCTCCTGTCTGATTGCCCTGGCCAGAACTTCCAACACTATGTTGAATAGGAGCGGTGGGAGAGGGCATCCCTGTCTTGTGCCCGTTTTCAAAGGGAATGCTTCCAGTTTTTGCCCATTCAGTATGATATTGGCTGTGGGTTTGTCATAGATAGCTCTTATTATTTTGAGATACGTCCCATCAATACCTAATTTATTGAGAGTTTTTAGCATGAAGCGTTGTTGAATCTTGTCAAAGGCCTTTTCTGCATCTATTGAGATAAACGTGTGGTTTTTGTCTTTGGTTCTGTTTATATGCTGGATTGCATTTATTGATTTGCATATGTTGAACCAGCTTTACATCCCAGGGATGAAGCCCACTTGATCATGGTGGATAAGCTTTTTGATGTGCTGCTGGATTTGGTTTGCCAGTATTTTATTGAGGATTTTTGCATCAATGTTCATCAAGGATATTGGTCTAAAATTCTCATTTTTGGTTGTGTCTCTGCCAGGCTTTGGTATCAGAATGATGCTGGCCTCATAAAATGAGTTAGGGAGGATTCCCTCTTTTTCTATTGATTGGAATAGTTTCATAAGGAATGGTACCAGTTCCTCCTTGTACCTCTGGTAGAATTCGGCTGTGAATCCATCTGATCCTGGACTCTTTTTGGTTGGTAAGCTATTGATTATTGCCTCAATTTCATAGCCTGTTATTGGTCTATTCAGAGATTCAACTTCTTCCTGGTTTAGTCTTGGGAGGATGTATGTGTCGAGGAATTTGTCCATTTCTTCTAGATTTTCTGGTTTATTTGCATAGAAGTGTTTATAGTATTCTCTGATGGTAGTTTGTATTTCTGTGGGATCGGTGGTGATATCCCCTTTATCATTTTTTATTGCGTCTATTTGATTCTTCTCTCTTTTCTTCTGTATTAGTCTTGCTAGCGGTCTGTCAATTTTGTTAATCTTTTCAAAAAACCAGCTCCTCGATTCATTAATTTTTTGAAGGGTTTTTTTGTGTCTCTATTTCCTTCAGTTCTGCTCTGATCTTAGTTATTTCTTGCCTTCTGCTAGCTTTTGAATGTGTTTGCTCTTGCTTTTCTAGTTCTTTTAATTGTGATGTTAGGGTGTCAATTTTAGATCTTTCCTGCTTTCTCTTGTGGGCATTTAATGCTATACATTTCCCTCTACACACTGCTTTGAATGTGTCCCAGAGATTCTGGTATGTTGTGTCTTTGTTCTCATTGGTTTCAAAGAACATCTTTATTTCTGCCTTCATTTCGTTATGTACCCAGTAGTCATTCAGGAGCAGGTTGTTCAGTTTCCATGTAGTTGAGTGGTTTTGAGTGAGTTTCTTAATCCTGAGTTCTAGTTTGATTGCACTGTGGTCTGAGAGACAGTTTGTTATAATTTCTGTTCTTTTACATTTGCTGAGGAGTGCTTTACTTCCAAGTATGTGGTCAATTTTGGAATAGGTGTGGTGTGATGCTGAAAAGAATGTATATTCTGTCGATTTGGGGTGGAGAGTTCTGTAGATGTCTATTAGGTCCGCTTGGAGTGGAGCTGAGTTAAATTCCTGGGTATCCTTGTTAACTTTCTGTCTCTTTGATCTGTCTAATGTTGACAGTGGGGTGTTAAAGTCTCCCATTATTATTGTGTGGGAGTCTAAGTCTCTTTGTAGATCACTAAGGACTTGCTTTATGAATCTGGGCGCTCCTGTATTGGGTGCATATATATTTAGGATAGTTAGCTCTTCTTGTTGAATTGATCCCTTTACCATTAAGTAATGGCCTTCTTTGTCTTCTTTGATCTTTGTTGGTTTAAAGTCTGTTTTATCAGAAACTAGAATTGCAACCCCTTCCTTTTTCTGTTTTCCATTTGCTTGGTAGATCTTCCTCCATCCCTTTATTTTGAGTCTATGTGTGTCTCTGCATGTGAGATGGGTTTCCTGAATACAGCACACTGATGGGTCTTGAGTCTTTATCCAATTTGCCAGTCTGTGTCTTTTAATTGGAGCATTTAGCCCATCTACATTCAAAGTTAATACCGTTATATGTGAATTTGGTCGTGTCATGATGTCAGCTGGCTATTTTGCTCGTTAGTTGATGCAGTTTCTTCCTAGCCTTGATGGTCTTTACAATTTGGCATGTTTTTGCAGTAGCTGGTACCAGTTTTTCCTTTCCATGTTTAGTGCTTCCTTCGGGAGCTCTTTTAGGGCAGGCCTGGTGGTGACAAAATCTCTCAGCATTTGCTTCTCTGTAAAGTATTTTATTTCTCCTTCACTTAGGAAGCTTAGTTTGGCTGGATATGAAATTCTGGGTTGAAAATTCTTTTCTTTAAGAATGTTGAATATTGGCCCCCACTCTCTTCTGGCTTGTAGAGTTTCTGCCAAGAGATCAGCTGTTAGTCTGATGGGCTTCCCTTTGTGTGTAACCCGACCTTTCTCTGTCAGGTTTTGCCATTGTATCTTAAAAAATTCATCTGTGGTATGCAAGTTCAGGAGACGATGTCAAAGGAAGAGACTGTTCCAGGTGTGTGAAGCCCAGTGAAGTGTCGATAAAGTCTGAACAGTAACCTGGCTTCCAGTGGATTGATCATCTGTCAGAAGAATTACCTAAAATCTCTAAGTTTTAACTAGAAGGAGGAGTTCATTAATGGATAGATCTTATCCCATCTCTCTGCAGTAGGTCTGTAGCAAATATGGCAGGTGAAGATTTGAAGGAAGAGTGATGTA
This sequence comes from Homo sapiens, assembly GCF_000001405.40. Taxonomy (NCBI): domain Eukaryota; kingdom Metazoa; phylum Chordata; class Mammalia; order Primates; family Hominidae; genus Homo; species Homo sapiens. The sequence goes on from NC_000018.10 coordinate 54,404,436, forward strand.
GAGGCATTGCCAGGAGTGTGAGAAATCTAAATGTATATTTATTTTCCCCTGAATGGGAGAAGAAGAGACAACTGCTAATCCTTTCCATTTTATGATGAGTTAAAATTTTTCTCAAACACTGTCTGAAATCTCTCCTTGGATTTTTATCACAACCTTCTGAAGTGGTTCCCTCTTCTATGTTTACTATTGTGCCTAAACAGAAAAAGTATATATTCATAATTTATAAAGAGATATATCATTAATAGAAGAAACAAAGTTCTTATAGTAATACTGTTTTACTTATTAAAATATAGCATACAGACTGGGCGCAGTGGCTCACACCTGTAATCCCAGCACTTGGGGAGGCCGAGGCAGGCGGATCACCTGAGGTCAGGAGTTTGAGACCAGCCTGGCCAACATGGTGAACCCCTGCCTCTACTAAAAATACAAAAATTAGCCAGGCATGGTGGCCCGCACCTGTAATCCCAGCTACTCAGGAGGCTGAGGCAGGAGAATTGCTTGAACGTGGGAGGCGGAGATTGCAGTGAGCTGAGATTGTGCCACTGCACTCCAACCTGGGCGACAGAGCAAGACTCCATCTGAAAAAATAAATAAATAAAAATAAGATAAATAAATATATAAATAAAATACAGCATATATTCTATTACTTTATCCTTTTATATTACAACTACGTTTATCAACACTCTATATTACCTTTTAGCCTTAGAGTATCACCATGAACATAGGACCTTTCATAGGTTTAATATATTCCAATTAACTGCAATGTAGCTATTACATATTTGAAGCTCAGTTTGTCACAGTCTGGCTTTGTGTGAGCCCTTGAAAGCCTCTATTGTGTTGACATTCTTGAAAGCATCATTGCTTTCTGACAACAACAGAATGTTCTGGATTCTATTGATTTTTTTTTCCTACCCTAGATGTAGACACAATCTTCTTCCAAGGAAACAAGAGTTCTTACTCCTGAAGTGAGTTGTTGGCAAGGAGTGGGGTTTATGACTTTACCCATTTATCTGAAGAGTGAATAAGGCACAGGAATCTATATTCTTTGCCTAAGGGTACATATTTTATTACCAATAAAACTGAGACTAGCATAGAACTCTAGGCTAAACTCCAGACAAGGCTTATGTGATCACCTTATTAATTAAAATGGCTCCCTCTGACATCACACACTCCTGCCTCCCCCTGCTTAATTTTTTCTTATAGTACTTATCACTTTTTAACATAGTATTATTAATTAGTTCTGACTCCTACTAGAATGTAAGCAACATGAGGGCAGGGAATTTTTGTCTGTTTCATCTACCAGTAAAACTGAAGCATCTGGAACAGTGTCCTGGACATCGCGAGTCCTCAGTCAATATTTGTTGAGTGAATGCACATGAGCTATAACAGAACTTTTCTGTAGCTAGACTCAGCTGGTCTTGTCCATATGATCACTCAGTAGCCATCCTGAAGTTTGACTTACCTTCTATTATGCCATTAGATTGGCATTATACATTATATATGGAGTACTTATTTGGGGAAACGAATTGCTGGAATGTTGAATATCTTTTTTATTTGAGACAGTCTCACTCTGTCACCCACGTTGGAGGGCAGTGGCACAGTCTTGGCTCACTGCAGCCTCCTTCTCCCAGGTTCAAGTGATTTTCGTGCTTCAGCCTTCCGAGTAGCTGGAATTATAGGCATGTGCCACCACACCTGGCTAATTTTTATATTTTAGGTGGAGACAGGGTTTTGCCTTGTTGCTCAGGCTGGTCTTGAACTCCTGTGCTCAAGCGATCTGACCACCTCGGCCTCCCAAAGTGCTGGGATTACAGGCATGAGCCACAGTGCCAGGCCTGAATATCTTTATTATTATGTCCAATGGAATCTTAAAAAATGGGAGTGTTGGGAAGCTAGCAATTTGATGTTATTTCTCAAAATAATTATATCACCAACTCAAGTGGCAGAGCTAGACAGTCATTTAATCCAGTCATAATTGTATACAGTTGAGGAAACTGACCTAGGACGGTTAAGGAACTAGCCTAAAGTCATATTGCTATGTAGAGTAGAGCTGAATGAATAGAACATTTTCATTTTTTTTAACTTCACAAGGTTAGGGGTCCTTCCCAGCATTCTCTGATGCCTGTATTAGAAGCCCACACCCACCCAATGCCTGCCGGGTTAGGGTTCTCCTGAGAGCAAGGGTGTTTCGGGAATAGGTAATGGCGGGGGTGGGAGCAGCAGGAATTTGTATTGAGCCTCTCCTGCAAAGGAATTTAAATGTATGGCATTGATTTTGAGGTGATAAAATATTTAAAGTTCTTATTTAAGTTTTTTTTTTTCTGACTATTACAAAAGTTTATTTCACAAAAAGTCTAATATGAAAATGTACGTGACCTAATTTTTACATCATAGTAAAACAGGCTCTATGGAGAGAGGACATGGGTTTCTCTGCTGAACAGCCATTATTTATACTCGTTCCAAGGCTTCTAACATGATGATACTATTTCCTCGTATTACCACCATTCCAATATTGTTCTATTGACCACTAGTCGCCATCTCCACACATTCGTCTATCACAAGGTTCATAAAAGGATCAAATCCCCGCAATATTCCTTGCACATGTCTGCCACCATTTAATTTCAATGATAACTTCTTGTCCATAAATTTTTTCAACTCGGGAGGGTGAGCTTTGCTCATGGTGTATACTCCGCGGGCTCACGGATGCCTTGGAACGGAATGCATGGCTTCCCTCATGCTCCCGCGGTAGGCCCGGCGTCTCTATTTAAATTTTATCTATGGGACCAGTAATGTGATTTTCCCATCTTGTTTTCAGGATACCATAAAACATGTTTTTTTTCCTGTTCAATTTTCCTTGTATATTTGTTAGCTGGAATGAATCATACATTGTAAAATCTTTGAGGCAAGGGTCCGTGTCTTCTAAATTTACTAACTCTTCCCAGTGTCTGTTATATACTACCTTCTCATACATCTCTGATATCCAGTGGTCATATGAAAGTTGAACAATAGATAAGAAACATTTGCATAATGAGAATATTGATCAGTCCTGTTAGTAGTAGACATTTCAAAGGAAGTAATTAGAAAGAATTGCCCAACATTGCCTTATCAGCCTTTTCCACCTGAATGGTTATAAAGGTAGACTAACATAGAGATGGGGGAAATTTCTTATTGGAACTTAGTAGCATTGCTTTTTCTCCTTTACCAGTATGGTATAAAGAAGAATCTACTTGGCTCAGTTTTTCTGAGAAAAACAATATTCTTTTGTGATTGGATATATTCCAGGAAAATAAACTCAAATCATATAATGAAGAGTTATATCTTATATATTCAGTTTCTCCCTTTGACAGATATTGCAATCAGCAGCTCTTTGTACTTGCCAAATTTATTATTAGTTATGTCTAGCCCTTGTGATGGAGATAAACATTTCAAATAATAAAAGTTGTAGCATACCCTAGTGAGAAATAAGAGCTAGAAAAGTTATCAATATGTTTTCATTTTAGTTTGTGGTAAAAAATAGACCTACCAAATGTAAAATGGTAGAATACAACAGAACTTTATTGCTTGTATATGCAAGAGTTTGAAAAGGGTGTTTTTCCCTGGTCTGGTGGGTTTCCTTTACAGTGACCTGGGGACTCAGGCCCCTTCCGTCTAATGGATCTGCCCTTCCCACCAGGGCATCACTGCATTCACCTGCTGAAAGTGTGAGGGGGAATAGTGGGGGATTACCTTCTTTTTTTAAAAGTCTGAGCCTGGAAATAGCACACAGCATTACTGCTCATAGTCTGTTGATTAAAACTCAGCCACATGGCAAAACCTGACTGTAAGGGATGGTGGGAAATATAGAGTAGCCATGTGCCCAGGGAAAAGATGTCATGGATGTTTTTCATGATTTTCCTTCCTCCTTTCCCTTTTCTTTCAATTTTTATTTTGAGATAATTTTAGACTTTAGACTTTAGAGTTGCAGAGATATTCCCTGAATAACTTTCTTTCAGCTTATCCTTATGTTAACATCCACATAATGATAAAAGAATTTTCAAAACCTGGCACAATACTATAAACTATAAACCTTACTCAGATTTCACTAGTTTTTCCTGTAATGTCATTTTTATGTTCCAGGATCCAATTCATTTAATTGTCACATTTCCTTAGTCTCCTCCAATCTGTAATAGTTCTTGTCTTTCTGTTTTTTATAATCCTGTCACTTTTGAAGAGTCAGTAATTACTGTTCAGTAGTTTGGTAAAATGTCACTCAATTTGTTTTTTTTTTATGTTTTCTCATGATTAGATTGAAATTAAGCATTCTAGGGAAGGCTACCATAGACTGGAGGGGATCTGCCCTTCTCAGTGCACCAAATTGTGGGTATGTGATGTCGATGTGTATTATAGGTGATGTTAACCTTGATGACTTGGCTAAGGTGGTGTCTACCAGAATCCTCCACTATAAAATCACTATTTTCCAGACAGGTGCAGTGGCTCACTAGAAGTGCCAGGCATGGTGACACTAAAGTGCCTGGAATCCCAGCACTTTGGGAGGCCGAGGTGAGAAGATCACTTGAGCCCAGGAGTTCAAGACCAGCCCAGGCAACATGGCAAGACCCTATTTCTACAAAAAAATTTTTAAAATAAAATAAAATTACTATTTTCCCTTGGCAATTATCAGATATTTTGGAGAGATAATTTAAGAATATGCAAGTATTGTTTACAGTTTACCTTTCAATTAGTAATTTTAGTACCCATCAAGGGATCTTGCCGCAGCAATTTTTACTGTGACATTCTAATGATAATTTTCTGTTTCCTTCATTAAAAAATAAAATTTTGGTGGCTATCTGATGGTTACATAGATATTAAGGATCCTTGCCCTCCTCTCCATGCCCCCCATTTTGGAGATTAAAGGGACTGTGGTTTAAATGATGTTAAGCCATCATTTAAAGATGACAAAAGGGTTAAAGGATAAGGGACACTGCCACAGCTCTGTAGTGCTTAGATGTGGTCCAAATGGGAAGCTTCCTGGAATGGCAGTAAGAAAGCCGGGGTTTCAGTTACAACTCTCTTATTAGCTGAATGTAAGGAGCTGTTTTTACTCTAATTTTCTAATTTGTAAAATAAGAGTAATTCTATACATTGTCCAAAGTAATGTGTAAGGATGCAGTACTTTGAATTACTAGGAAGGGTAATATCTGTTTTATGAATTTGGAGTGTCCTTATTATACCAATTAAAATATAGGTATTATCGAAGTGGAGCAAGCCTACTTGTGCTTATTTAAAAGGAACAAGACTAACATTTGTTGTACATTTACTATATGCAGGCCCAAGCTTTGAATCCATTAACTAATTTAATCCTCTCAGACTTTTATGAGAGCAATGTTATTAGCCCCATCATATAGATGAATAACTTGAGGCCCAGAGAGGCTAAATAACATGCCCCAGGCCACACAGTCGATAAATGGTGGGGTTAGGAATTGAACCATGGTGGTCCAGCTCCAGAGTTTGGACTCTTCACCACTTCACTATGTACTTGTGCCCTGGGTGCAGAACGGATGTTCATCTAGTACATGCTAGCGTGGCCATATCAGCTAACTGCTTCTGTTCTGAAGTATTTAAGTTCTTGAATATTTAAGTAAATATTTTGTTAAAAATTTATATTTAACAAGGTTGTTAAATAGGTTGTTAAATATTTTGGGCATAAGCCTGGGTACTGGTAAATAAAAATATTTGTATGTCCTAGTTATGTTTGAACTGAGCATGTATTCCATTTGAAATAAGTGAACTTCAGGAAATATTTTTGGTGTTTATGATTGGAAGAACAATAATTTAAACATTGAAGTGAAAACAGAAGTATTGGACATGTATTTGTTAATTGTTCTTCCCAATTTTGAGGCATTAGTCCACGTTTGTCCATGGCCACAGCATATAAGTAGTATGGCTCTTGTTTAAAGGTAATTATTAGGTGGGTGATTGGATATGTTACAAGGAAATCTAAGTAGGGTCACCAGTTTTCTATTCTTTCTATACATCTGGCACTTGCTTGGTGATTTGGCTCCTATTGTAGAATCTGGTTCAGTTTACAATTCTGCCTATTTTCTTAGCAGCCTGCCAAGCATTTCTGAGTGGTCTAGAGAACTCACTGCATTTCTCTGGTTTATGTGAAGAACTGGTGTCCCCTTTATTGGTGGTGGTGCAAGAGTCCTCTGCACTACACCATAGAATTAACTTCATGTGCATTAAAATGATTAAAAAAATATTCCTGCTTTCAGCTGTATGGCTTCAATTCACCATGAACCATTTACATGTATGTCAAAGGCATGACGTTCTCCTGCAGCAAATAGAAATTGTAGGGAAAGCTCTGGCTGACAGTGGGAGAGCTGGGCTTTCGTTTTGGCTCTGCCAGTGACTTACTCTGTTACCTTGGGGAAAATCCTTAGCCTCTTTGGGCTCCTTATCTGCAAAGATCAGCCAGGCACAGTGGCTCACACCTGTAATTCCAGCACTTTGGGAGCCGAGGCAGGTGGATCGCAAGCTCAAGAGATTGAGACCATCCTGGCCAACATGGTGAAACCTCATCTCTACTAAAAATACAAAAATTATCTGGGCATGGTGGCACATGCCTATAGTCCCAACTACTCAGGAGGCTGAGGCAGGAGAATCGCTTGAACCTGGGAGGTGGAGGTTGCAGTGAGCCGAGATTGCACCACTACGCTCCAGCCTGGGCAACAACAGCGAAACTCCGTCTCAAAAAAAAAGAAAAAAAGATCAAAATGACCTTATCCAGCTGCAGCTTTCTCTGATTCAGTGCTTCAGTGAGTTTTAGTGTAGTTTAGTTAATGATTTGTTTGTCTTGCCATTTAAATGAATGCTAAGCACAGCCCCCAGATAATGCTTATGACACAAGGCTGCATTTTCACATTTCCAAGAAATAACAGTAAATGGTGAAGTTGTGTAAAACTTGTTTTGAAGATTCACATAGTACTATTGTCAGATAAGACCAAAGAAAAGTGGTCACACTATATTTCATGGAGTCAAAAAGACCACTCACTTTAAAACATATCTCATTTTCAGAGATATTAAAATGTGGAGAAATATGTATTTTAGATTTGATCAAATATGATATGAAAGCCCCAAGGTCATCTCTCCATCACTTGATCATAGATTAACCTGCAGCCTTTCTTGGAGCCTAGGCTGCCTGATACAGATAGGGTCTACATTCTTACCACATGGTCTGTCATAGAGCTGCTTAGAGGCAAGTCAGAAATTTGGACTAGAATGTAATTGACTAAGTGTGCCCACCTAGTGTGGCCATGTTGGGATGTGAAGCCTCAGCTCACAGTTGCAATTTCAGTGAAGACTTGCCTTCTTTCTCGATACAATCAGTCTTCTGTATACTCACAGGACTTTGTATATATTTCTACATAACACTTAGCACATTTTGTTGTAGTTATTTGCTTTCTTTTCTGCTTCTTCTCCTAAATTATGAGCTACTCAAAATTCTCTTAATGTTGTACAGGAGTGGTGTACAGCCTGCAATATAGTAGGCACACATCATGTTTATTGAAGGAGTAAAGGTCCAAAGGTATGAAGGAAAGAAGGGTGGCTGACTGTTTTGTGGATTATAGTAGGGGTTTTTAGATTACTCAGCCACCATTCATCACCAGGAAAAAAGATGCAAAATGAATTTTATGTAAAGATTAACTTTTAGGTAACAGGATTATTTCATAAACTATTAGGAAAACTACATTATTAAGAAATAAGACTGATTTGAGTAAAAAAGAAAGAGTTTACTAGGCTAAGCCCCCACCATCAGATGCCAAAAAGAACCAATGTCATGGAAGAATATTATGACAAAAGGTGCTTTGCTCCAACACTAAACTGGCTCTGTCTGTGATTTGGGGCAGTTACCACACCTCCCTATACCTCAGCTTCCTCTTCTGTAAAATGGGAATAATAATAGCACCTGATAATCACTGTAGGAATGATATCACATAATGTTTGTAAAACACTCAGGACAGTACTTAGCACATAGAGAAGGAGATAAGTGTGAGTTATTATTGTTACTATCTCTATATGTGTCATCAGTGGGCAAAGAGTTGGGGACCAAAGGATGTGTTTTATTGGTCTTTCATTTGGCAATTCTTTCAAGGATTTTTTTTTAACCCAAGATTATGATTGAATAGATAATTTACTTATTTCATGTCCTTCACTTTCAGCTCTATACAAGTATGCCCTTACTTAAGAATCCTCATTCTTCTCCTCTGGGATCTCCCAGTTTGCTAGAGCTATCTTTTCCTCTCCCCTCCTTTCTTTTTCAGTGAATTGATTGTTCCTCTTTGCCAATGGACAGCTCAGCATTTGAAATGCATGAAGATGCAACACAGAATAGTTTGTCTATGGGGACGATAAACACTATCTCTAGAATGGTAAGGTGGGGATTTATATCTTGTGATTTGTTCCCTCCAAGACCTTACACAGAGCTCAGGCAAGAACCCCTCTTTAGATCAGTTCTTCTTAAGTGACCCTCTTCAGAAAGATAGCGTCTCCTCTTATGAACATTTCTTGATTTGCCCCCTCTCATAAACTCTAAACTCACACCCATTTAGCTCTTTTTTAAATTTTATTTTATTATTATTATACTTTAAGTTTTAGGGTACATATACACAATGTGCAGGTTAGTTACATATGTGTACATGTGCCATGCTGGTATGCTGCACCCATTAACTCGTCATTTAGCATTAGGTATATCTCCTAATGCTATCCCTCCCCCCTCCCCCCACCCCACAACAGTCCCCAGAGTGTGATGTTACACTTCCTGTGTCCATGTGTTCTCATTGTTCAATTCCCACCTATGAGTGAGAACATGTGGTGTTTGGTTTTTTGTCTTTGCGATAGTTTACTGAGAATGATGATTTCCAGTTTCATCCATGTCCCTACAAAGGACATGAACTCATCATTTTTTATGGCTGCATAGTATTCCATGGTGTATATGTGCCACATTTTCTTAATCCAGTCTATCGTTGGACATTTGGGTTGGTTCCAAGTCTTTGCTATTGTGAATAATGCCGCAATAAACATACGTGTGCATGTGTCTTTATAGCAGCATGATTTGTAGTCCTTTGGGTGTATACCCAGTAATGGGATGGCTGGGTCAAATGGTATTTCTAGTTCTAGATCCCTGAGGAATCGCCACACTGACTTCCACAATGGTTGAACTAGTTTACAGTCCCACCAACAGTGTAAAAGTGTTCCTATTTCTCCACATCCTCTCCAGCACCCATTGTTTCCTGACTTTTGAATGATCGCCATTCTAACTGGTGTGAGATGGTATCTCATTGTGGTTTTGATTTGCATTTGTCTGATGGCCAGTGATGGTGAGCATTTTTTCATGTGTTTTTTGGCTGCATAAAAGTCTTCTTTTGAGAAGTGTCTGTTCCTATCCTTTGCCCACTTTTTGATGGTGTTGTTTGTTTTTTTCTTGTATATTTGTTTGAGTTCATTGTAGATTCTGGATATTAGCCCTTTGTCAGATGAGTAGGTTGCAAACATTTTCTCCCATTCTGTAGGTTGCCTGTTCATTCTGATGGTAGTTTCTTTTGCTGTGCAGAAGCTCTTTAGTTTAATTAGATCCCATTTGTCAATTTTGGCTTTTGTTGCCATTGCTTTTGGTGTTCTAGGACATGAAGTCCTTGCCCATGCCTATGTCCTGAATGGTAATGCCTAGGTTTTCTCCCAGGGTTTTTATGGTTTTAGGTCTAACATTTACGTCTTTAATACATCTTGAATTAATTTTTGTATAAGGTGTAAGGAATTAATACAATAACAAATATTGTTTTGTGAAACTTTTGTTTCAGTAGTGTGTGTGTATTTACGTGTGTGTGTGTTTGTGCATGTATATCTGTACATGTACTGGATCACAGGGGGAAATGTATTTCTTGATGTGAATGTAGTTAAAAAAAAAAAAGTTTGAGAAACACTGATCAAGGAAGTGTTTAATCACTTAATCCAGTGATTAAGGAAGAAATACTAATGTCTAGCAAAGAATTACTCTTAGATATATAAAGTTATATGCTATCATTTTCTTTTAAAAATGTAAATGTGACCTTACAGTTGTGTGTAAATGTAAGCTTTCCTTTGAGAATGCTGGATCATGAGTATTACATTTTAATGATCTGGTTTGGTGTTGTGCACTTGTATAGTCCCAGCTACTTGGGAGGCTGAGGCAGGAGGATCTCTTGAGGCAGGAGTTAGAGGCCAGCCTAGGCAACACAGCAACACTCGATTTCTAAAACAAAAAAGAGAATTTAATGATCCTGAAATGATATGCAGTGATAGTACTTTGATTTAGTGGAATAACAGAGGAATCAGGAGAAATTCTTTCTACACCTATAATTACAGATAATAGTGTGGCTTTCCACAAGTCATTGCTCCACCCTGGGCTTCAATTTCCTCATCAGGAAGATGAGACATAGAAGCTAAGCTGGAATCTTTAGTATTCTTTACAATGCAGCATTTCGGTGTTTATATCTTGAGGCTAGTTCCCCTTAAGACCCTTAACACAGAGCTCAGGAAAAACTCTTTAAGCCAGCTATCATCTTAAGAAATGTAGTACCCCCTGCTCTGATCATGTCCTGATTTAACGTGAAATAATTAAAAGATACATTTTAAGTATACTTTAAAAAATAGCTCTTTTCATCATGTTTGTCAGTGAATTTTAGTTGAAGTTAGTTTAAAGAAAAATTTAAGAACCGAGAAAGGAGGCAATATTTCTAATGTGTCTTAAGTAGAGAATAATGGCTTTCTAATTTTCCCTAGGCAAAGAACAGGCTGTGGTCACGGGTGAACATTTTCCTGGTGTGTCTCTTGGCCTGCATCATTACCACAGCAGTAGGAGTGCTCATGCTCTCCTTGGTCTATATTAGCAACTCATGCAGACATTCATTTCAAACCTGAAGCCTGGCCTCTGCAAACAATGACTCCCATAGTATCAAAAGCTATTGATCCAGAATTTCAGTTTCTTAATCACTTACCTAAATCTAAAGTATGAATTACACACATTAGGAAAAATAATTATTCTTAATGGCAACTTTAAAACCACCTTCTCATTGTATGTTTACTAAGCTTTATTCTCTATTGGAAGGGATGAACTGTGAGCCAGGATGAAGGAAGGTGAGAGATAGAGAAGAGGGGAGAGTTGCGTTGTTGACCTCAGACAGAAATGTTCTTCAGTAGACAGTTCCATGTCTGACTAGAGTAGAGAATTGCACGTGGACAAATGGAAATTCCTCTATTCTCTTGCCACCCTAGGTGTCTCTTTAAATGTCTAACAGGGTCTAGACTGATAGCACTGCGTGTGTTACTATTGCCATTCCTGGACTCGTACAGACCTATTCCTCCTCTTCCTTTCTGGGATTCCAAAACTCACCTCACCACCATTGCCTTTTCCCTTTTGCCTCCTTCTTACTCTATAGGCCCCATGCTCTTAGGAGGTGGCCTCCATGCTTATGGTGGCTTGTTTATGGTTTTCCGGGTGTTTGACTTCCTTGATGGTACAATCCAGTGGGCCCGGTACAGGAACAATGTCAAAGACTATCTCAGCAATGAAGAAGAGGCCTTTGGCACCAGCTTGAACAGTCAGAGATCACAAATGACTCTGGGGACACTTAGGATAAAAAGCAATGGCCTCCAGGCCCTTCACTGGCACTTCAACGCCAGTGAACATGACTGTCTTGCTCAGGTATAACTAGTTTGCCCACACTCTCCTCTTAAGAATCTATGTTTTTTGTCCTGAGAGTAGTATTTTAGTTGTTACAAAATCTGCTTAACTAAGAGATAGACAAACATTCAGGCTTTGGCTATATATTCAACTAGATTAGTTAGCAGTGCCTATAAGCATTAGTCTGTTTGTTTAAATTATTTTTGGCATAACTTTGAACTCTTTTCTTCAGTATGAAATCATTTTTCACACACTATTGTTAAAATAAGATCACTGTTTGGTCCTCTGAGCCAAAGCTAAAACCGGCAGCTCTGATCTAATGATCAAAGAAACAGCAGCTTTTCTCTAAAGAAAATAACAGCAACCAGAATAACAAAGTAGTTTGCTGTGTTCAGTCAGTCTGGAGTCTCTAAGATCAGGCCAATTGGATGCCCTTTTGTGGTTCAGACTTTTCAGAATGTTCTTGAAGTCTAGTGAAATAGAGATAGCTGGAGGTAAAATGAGTGTCCTTACTTGAATTTCAAATAATTCATTAATTCCCTAAAGTATTTATTGGCTTCCTTCTGCATTCCAGACACTGGGGAAGCAGTAGTGACTAAGCCCTCACAGAACTTTCAGAGTTTAGTCTTTCCCTGGTGATCTAGTTAAAGACGCATAGCCAATTTTACGTGATGTTTTTGTTGTAGTTAATAAAGCCTTCTTTTTTATTCTTGGACAATGCATTCAATTTTAGAATTTACAACAGAGAGAGAGATTAGAGTTTCCTTTATATGAGACCAAACTATTCTTTTTTTTCTTATAAGAGAACAGGAAGTCAGAGAGATTAGTTGGGTTTTCTAAAGATAAACCGTAGTCACTGGATTCACTGGGACAAAGCTCATGTTTTCTGACTTCTTGTCTTTTTCCACATAGACAAAATATGTGAAAGAGGGTAATCTCTAAAACATTCATTTTCATGGTCTTGACTGAGCAGTGGCAGAGCAATAGGAAAAAGAAAAGGCAGCTCAGTGGACTTTCCTGGGGGGAGACCCCTAAAAAGAAACTGCAAGCTAGGGAAATTCACCTGGAGCCTTCTCTAGTTGAAAATAGGCCCTGGGACCTAGCTCAGCCTGAGAAGGTTGTTCACGCAATCCTGAGAGTTCATAATGTGAGCTATATGGAGTTGAATATTCTCTAGATACCCAGAAAATTGTGGGATTACTGTTTCTCACAATCAGGGTAAGAAACCAAGCAACAGGATGTGAAGAAGTCCATCTATTCCAGTCGTCCAGGGATATTGCTTCTGCTTCTGAGTGTCTTCGTGGAAGCTTTGGAAGGGACCCTGAGAGTACGGTGGGCAAGCTGACTGGTGTGCCTGGCTTCACCACAAAGATCACATTGACTCCCATGCTATCTCTGCTTTGTATCTGGAGTAATTGGTGCCCTGATATGAATAGGTACACATTGCTGCTGCTCCCTGCTTGTGGATGAAGAGAGAGCTCTTTAGAGGGCCACCTTTCCCCTGTATATTTAATACCCATCTGGATTCGAGTTATACATGTCTATGTAGACAGAACGAAAACTTCTTTTTCATCCGCCCCTGTGGCTGCTCCACTATGTGACCATGAGTCTCTGGTAAAACAGAAATAATGGTATCTTCTCTGCCTACCTCACGGGGTAATACTGAGGAACAGATTAGAGAATGAGAAAGTATAGAATTTTATAGAAGCAGAATCAAAATATGGGTTAGTATGAATAAAAAGTATAGACTTTGGAGCCAGACTGCTTAAGTCCAAATCTTGGCTTTTCCATTGATTAGCTGAGTAATCTTGGGAAAATATGTTCTCTCCATAGTTTTCTTTTTTGTAAAATAGGGATAATAATATTACCATGCTTCATAGGATTGATGTAAGGAATAATCAAGCTGAATCAAGTAAAGTGATCACATGAATACCTGACATATATTAAAGGCACTACATGTTAGCTGTTATTGTTAAAATTGTATGCACACTTTTTCTTGTCTGGAAAGCACACACATATCTGTATGTATACATACACACAAACGCATACACTTGTACCTGTACAACCAACTAAGAACATGCACACATCCTCCCCAAGTGGCTTCAGTCTTTTTAAACTTTAAAATATGCAGTCTTTGTTTTTGTTTTGTTTTCTGAGACGGAGTTTCGCTCTTGTTGCCCAGGTTGGAGTGGAATGGCACGGTCTCCACTCACTGCAACTTCCGCCTCCCAGGTTCAAGTGATTCTCCTGCCTCAGCCTCCCAAGTAGCTGGGATTATAGGCATAAGCCACCACGCCTGACTAATTTTGTATTTGTAGTAGAGACGAGGTTTCACCATGTTGGCCAGGCTGTTCTCGAACTCCTGACCTTAGGTGATCCACCTGCCTCGGCCTCCCAAAGTGTAAAACATGCAGTCTTAATAGGAGGTGATATTGCCCCCAAGGGGGCAACAACTTTTGAGGGAGACAAAAGTCTTACCCTTTTTATGTATAAAGAATAGATATGCATAGAGTATATAAACAATGGATTTATACGGTATACTGATCTACAGTATATGTACAGTATTAAAATTGCATAGGGTGGTAATAGAAAAAAAGTCTAAAAGCATACCTTAAAGGGAAAGTAATGAAAAGATGTTGAGAAACATTGCTCCAAAGTGATGTTGGTTATGTTTTTCTGCTTATATTTTAGGGAACAGCATAGATTGGGGTGGTTGATGATGATGGTGAAGTAGTTACACGCACAGTGTTATAGCTGGCCAAGTAATCTTCTTCCCTAAAAATATACTATACTGGATAAAGAATGTGGGGAATGAAGATTGTTTTTTCTTGCTCTTCTTTTCCACACATGATGAACTTCAGACTTTGAATGTTGATGATGTATTTTTTTCTGTAACTGAGACATTGCTTCCAGGTAACTTAAAGTAGGTACCATATCTGAAAACACGTATCGCCCTGAAGGTATGTATTATGTACCATATCTGAAAACACATATCACCCTGAAGTTATGACACAAAGAGAGCATGAGTATTTGTGTTTCTGGGGCAGCAGTCAGCTAAGTCCAGGGAAAATTGACTAATAGGTATATATAATAAAAGTTGGATAATGGACTCAAAAGTACATCTTATATTCTTCCTAATGACAAAATCTTGTTGAAATTGAGTTGTTTTTTATTTCCTTTAATTTTAGTCTTCCATAGGAAACTATAATGTATTGGCAGAAAGATTATGATATAATTAACAGAAAACTTGCTATAATTTGTATCTCTCAAGAGTCATAAACTCACCCATTCTTTCTATGGGAAGAAATTTGCTGCAGATAATGCAATCATGTTTTCAATGGTTGATTGAGGCTTCAATGTGGATTTAGGAACTAAACTTCTCTGGTATAGATAATTATATTAATGAAAAGACTGGATGCCTGTGAGAGTTCTCTTTTCATTTGTTTTTAAATGCTCAACTGGTTATATTGTATCATTGCCATTTCTTAGCTTGTGAGGACCTAGGTAAATTCCTCAACCAACTTAGATTTGAATTCCATCATCTGTAAGATGGGGAGAATAATGCCACTGACATTATAAGGTTGTTGTGAGGAAGAAGTGACATAATAAATGTAAAAGCCGTAGAAAATTGCATGTTCTTGGTGAGGGCTGCATAAATGTTAATTATTATGATGATTGTATGAATTGCTAAGTAGGATGTTGGCTAATGGGGTTTCTTTTTCCTTTTTCTTTTGTAAGCATCAAAATGCCCTTACCTTTAGTGCACTCAGAATTTGTAACAGAATTATAATGGATTATGACAGCCACATTTTCGTTTTAATGCAAATGAAATGCACTATGTGTTAAGTGGATGTGGAAAGGTAATTTATCTCCAAACTTTTTTTTGGCGGGGGGGGGGGGGTGATTTACTTCTTAATGCAAAAAGAAGCAAATGGGAGGAATTTTTCGTTTTGCTTCAGTTGTTAATAACATAAAATGACTCAGTCCTAATGGCTTTCTGGGCACAGTTGCTACAGAGAAAACCATGAAGATCCTGCAAGGTAGTTTCTGAGTTTAATGAGACAGAAAGATTCAAGATGTGCATGAAAAGAGGCTAAGAATATTTCAGAAGTGGTAAAGATGTTATCACCATGATGGAAGATCTGGAATGCTTGCTTAGGTTTTCAGTTTTGCATCCTCAGGTAATGCATAGTGAAAGGTGCCGCCCTTGGCAGAGTGTGAAATAACAGATTGCCTCTCAGTGCAATGTGAATGTGGGTAGCTGGGGAGACATGGAGCATCAGTAGGGTGGCCATATTCCAGTTTGTCCAGGGTATCCCTGATGTATACTTGTTTTCTTGGTGAAATTATTGATCACCGTCTTTAACTCTCCAGAAAACCTGGTTTGGATGATCAATTATATGGGTACCATAAGAAAAGACAAGCTGTGTAGCATGTTTCTCTAATGATTTGACTGTGGTTCTTCCAGAGTTTCATGGGTTTCCCTCGGGAAACCAACAATAGTATACACAGATGGAATGAGCTTAGCTCTAAGAAGCCTGTACCTTTCTCCATCTTGAAAGAAAGAACTAAAACCAGACTGGAATTTATTCATTATGTCATCATAGCAAAAGTCTTGTTTTATGTTTTTAGAAGTGAAAGCTATAATAAATCGGAAAAGGGCATTGTGATTTTTCACAAATTATATTTCAAGGATTAGACTTTACTTTGTCATGTTTGTGTGTGAGCATTTGTGTACAAATATAGTCTTTAACCCTTTTAAGGAAGATTGTTAGGATGTTGCTATCCTAGAAGGATGATTTTTGCCAAGCAAGTGCAGAGGAAGGCATGGGGGTAGTGAAACACTGAAATGTAAATCTTCTACCTGTTGTGTTAGGGAACATCATTTGTAACCCTTAATTAGGACATGGCGATTGATGCCCTTTTTCATGATGCCTTACTCACTAATACATTTTAAGGAGCACTTACTTTAATATCTTTTGATTTTTGTGGGGCTAGGAGATTTTATGTGAAGGAGTGAAGGATGGCCTCTACCTTCCACTCTTACCCTTATAAGGAGTTCCTGTATAACCATGTGCTTTTATTCGTCTGTTCTTCACTATTAATACTTATTCTTAATGAATATTTGATTGAATAATAAATTGGATTTTCTGATGGTATCCATATAATTGATCATCCAAATTAGGCTCTCTGGACAGTCAAAGGGGTGTGATCAATAATTTCACCAAGACAACAAGTGTACATTTTATTTGCTTAAAGTTAAATAGATAGTTTTTTCCTCCTTAGGTGGGGATTATTGGCACTCAGAGTACCATAGAATTCAACACTCCCATTGGAGATGTGATATTTTTCACTATTGGAATCCAGCATTACATTAAGAGCACATGTGATTAGGATTTGCTTTTCATTCTTGCCTACAACCCTGAAGACTGGGTGAGAATAAGCCAGCTTGAGAGAGATTGCCAGGTGTCAGTGTTCTGCACAATATTCTGCTAAGCAATGTGTTTGGACCAAAGGGAGCCCTCAGTAAATGTGTATTAAATGAATGAATAAATAAACTGGATGAATCAACATGTGACCAGGAGAATCAAATAGTCTTCTCATCTGTTTATAAAGGGATCCAATATATCACATTCTCTCTTAATGCTCCAAATTTTGAACCCTGAAAGATCAAAAAGTCAATATATAGAGATCCAAGTCACTTTTATTAGTAATAAATCAGGTATTAGTATTAGAGAATGTATTAATACTGTGGGCAGGTGGGTTTCCTAATAGTGGTCCCCAGAATTGGATAGGCCTCCCTGTGTTGAGGCAGGTCTTTGTATACCTTATGGCATAAAGTAAAAGTGCATGCTCTTGGAAGGTTTGACAGCTCCCAAGCAAAAAGAGGGAGGAGATGAAGTGAGCATGCCCAACTTATTCTTTTCAAGTATACTTGAGGGGGAAAGGGTGGGGAGAGAAAAAAAAAAGAGGGAGAGAGAGAAATGGAGTTTATTCTATATGAAGAGAAACTTCAGGAGTAGTGAAGTAGCATTTCTTCCCTTTCATTCTTTGAGAAATCTATGATGACCTGTGTATACAAAACATAGACTAAGATAAATTGTTCACTGCATTAAATAATTATTTGCTTAAAAAAAATTCACCCCTGGGCTCCTTGATGAGATGAAATGATGGGTTTGAGAGACAGAGATACATTGTGGAACTTAGATTTTAAAAATTCTTAGGACTAGGTTGCCTTTTGAGACTGGGTGGGAAGTAAAACAGTCTGATTGGGCACCCCTGGGGTGAGTCCGGGAACAGACAGGCATTTCTCTTGGCTGTGGTTCTTCCTACAAGGAGACCCAACAAGGCCTCCACGGAGAAGCACAGATGAATTCTGCAATCTCCTCAACAGGGCCTAAGCCCAAAGGTGGATCTGATCCTGGTGACACTCATTTCCCAGGATGACCCCCTCCATTCTTTGAGGGAGACTGGCAAATTCTAGCACCTGGGTCTCAAAACCTTCCTGGGCCTACCTGGCGAGAGGTTTATGGAGAGCTATATGAGAAAGAGTGGAAAGTTGGCTGTAGATGTTATTGGCAGGGGGTGGCAGGGAAGAGGGATTCTGGTGACCCCTAATTTCGGTGTGGGTCTCACTGCTACTGCCACCCTCTTGGCCATCATTCTCAATAGCCATTATAAGAACAAATCATAAAGCAAAATCAGATCAAATAAAATATAAGTAGGAAAATGAGGGAAAACTCAAAGATAGCAAGTTAAAGTTTAAAAAGTGAAGAATAAGAAAAGAGAATAGAAAAATGATTAGAATAAAAATGTTACATATGTGCAAAATATGACAAAGGTAAAATGTTAAAAATCAAAATTAATATGGAGGCAAAATAAACAAGATTTAATGTGACATGAAAGGCTAATACCGGCAAATTAAAGCTTAAAATTATAAAAGATAAAAATGACAACTGAAAACCATTAAATACAAATCCCAAATTAGAGAGTACAAATCTTTTAAAAAGAGAATAGAAATATGGAGTTTTTAAATGAAAGGAAACAGGAATCGACTTACAACAGGAAAGAAATAAATGAATCAGAATTTGGGGGGTAGAAGGAAGTTTTTCACTCCTCACCTACCCTCAGGAATACCTGATTTGCATCTTGATGAAGGATAGTCCCCCAGCCCCCAACCCCCATCGGAGTAAGTGATGGGAAGTGCTTCTGATGGGGATGTGTTTTGTATCAGGAGTGTGAAGGGAAAAAGGAGGGAGGGAGGATAGACAGGCAAGAGAGGGAGGGAACATATACCCAGAGAGAAACACAGAGAGAGTCACACACATACAGAGGGACAGAGACACACAGAGAGAGATACATGGAGAGATGCACAGAGAGGAAGAGACACACATACACACACAGACATACAGCCCCCAATAAAGAGAAAGACACAGAGAAACAGACATGAAAAGGGAGTGACACAAAGAGAAAGAAACAACACAGCCATACACAAATAGGAGACACACAGACATGCACACAAAGAGGGACAGAGACCCGTAGAGAGACAGAGAGATAGAAGGAAAGACACACAGACACACACATGCCCACATACAGACAGACCTATACACAGAAGAAAGACAGACACACAAAAGGACAGACATACATAAAGACAAATGCACACAAACATAGGCACACATGCAGACAAGACAGAGATTCAGAGGCAGATGTGCACAGACGTGTGCACACGGACACAGGAAAGAAAGAAAGGTAGATGCACATGCACACACACACACTCACACACACAGAAATTGAGAGGCAGAGTGAGAAAGAGAGATAATGTCAGAGAGGAGTGGGGGGAAGAAAGAGAAGGACAGCAACAGCCTTATAGGGGACAAAGGCAGACAGAGCATCAGACCCAGCCCACTGGACATCCAGGCCTGGCAGACTGTGATTACTGGCCCCAGCAGAGAGAGGCCATCAGCCTCTGGCTGCAGAGCACCAGGACCAATTACTTGGCAGCCTCTGGGCATGGAGTTCTGAGAAGCCCTTTTGTCTCTAGGTCCTGTCATGGGAAGAGAGATGGTCCTTCTCCATCCTTAAGGAGAATCACCTTCCCCGTAGGACAGAGGTCCCTTCTAAAGAAAGTTTCAGATGCTTCAGTCCCTCTAGTTATCAGACTCTCCCTACCTCTTAGAGTTGAAAAGATGAGCTCCCCATGGCAAGGCAAAACTGGTACACAAGGTGACCATTTGCAGGAGGTCATAGCTGTGCAGGTAGCCAAGTACCGTGCAGTACTGCAAATGCCTTGACAGTTGTAAGACCTCTGCAGGGATCTGGGTAGTTAGATGCTGACATATCTTCTTTTGGTTTACACTATCAGCTGCAAACCCTTGACATGGACGATTATATCTAGGATACAGCAGACCCCATCTTGGCCCAGCTTTCTTCAGGAAGCAAAGTGAATTTAACAAGAGCCCCCAGTTTAAGGAGCACCAGGTAATCAACCTGCCTTAGAGTTGCTGATGAGTTCCTATCTATTCTTCCTTCCTATTTGTTGTTATTGCTGTTAAAGAAGGACCACTTGGTTAATGAACTTGCAGCTCTTTACAAAGTGGAAGTGGGAAAGCAGGTTCAAAGCAGCCTGAGGGGCTCAGTTAACTTCGTGCTAAGGGAAAGTTTCAGTACACTCTGTAGATGAGCAGATCTATGTAGGAGACCCAATAAATTAAATTAATAGATTTTTATATGGATTTTAGCATGTGTGTATATAGTTGTTTACTTGCCTTTTATTACTTCAAATTTATTACTCCAAATGTAAGTCCATTCTTGTTATGTTCATCAGTAAAACTTAATACATTGCAAGTATTTTTGTTAAGAATCTTTGTGAAAGGAAGTAAAGAGGTTAGCCTACATATATACACATTAAGGCACTGGAACCCAGAAACTCAAACCTCCTCTGCAGAGTTTATAAAGAACCCTAGACTAGCAATTCTCAATCCTTTTCTTGGCACGAGATACTTTTAATAATGCCAACATTTTCAAGGACTCATTAATACTTATTTTATATTAGCTAAGAAAATATTTAATGATAAACTGATTATAAATTCAATACCATCTTTAAACGTATTTGGATTTTATTAATCATACCATCCTCTATTTGTACTTGACAAATAGTCATCCCTGTGTTTGAGAAGCATATGGTTTGTCTGTTGGCAATGCTGCCTGTAAATGTGAATTCAAAGATACCTTATTATGATCGGAAGCTGGTAGTTTTCAAGTTGGGAGATACTGTCTTAAGTAAAAAATAATTTGATTAGACCTAATCTGCACTTCATTTTTGTTTGCAATTTATTTTATTTATTTATTTTTTTGAGACAGAGCCTAACCCTCTTGCCCAGGCTGGAGTGCTGTGGCCTGAACTCACCTCACTGCAACCTCTGCCTCCCAGGTTCAAGCAATTTTCATGCCTCGGCCTCCCAAGTAGCTGGGATTACAGGCATACGCCACCATGCCCAGCTAATTTTTATATTTTTAGTAGAGTTGGGATTTTGCTATGTTGGCCAGGCTGGTCACGAACTCCTGACCTCAAGTGATCCACCCACCGTGGCTTCCCAAAGTGCTGAGATTACAGGTGTGAACCACTGTACCTGGACTTGTTTGCAATTTATTTCAACAGGTATTTGGTACCCTTGCAGTATACTGGGTACCACCATAGTTTTGGACTACTCTATATAAAATTTTAAAGTAGGTATAGCTGGGTTTTAATGCCTTTCCAACCCCTTTCAGTCATTGCCTTGATATCTAGTGGGATATTTAAAAAGATATTTTAGGCTGTTTGTTCCTAGGCTACAAAGAATCTGTGTCTATCTATCTGTCTGTCTGTCTATCTATCTATCTATCTATCTATCTATCTATCTATCTATCTATCCATCCATCCATCCATCCATCCATCCATCCATCCATCCATCCATCCATCCTTCCATCCATTGACCCATCTATCTCTATCTCTGAATGGTTACTTCTCTTGACTACAAGTACAGAATGTAGTGAAAATCAGGAATGGCTCACTTTTTGCAGCAGGAGGTGGCCACTTCCATGATGTACTTTAGGAACAGGACAACCTGTCCCTGCCCTTGACTATTTGTTTATCTAGCTATTCATTTACTAAACATTTAAAAGCAATGACTATAAGTGAAGCATTATGTTAGATGTTAGGGATATAAAATTGACTGTTAAATGATCTTTGCCCTGAAATAGCTTTCAGCCGATTGAAAGACACAGTAAAAACAGTGATACTTTGTAATAGTGCTATGATTAGTATACATTGTAATAAGTGATATATATGTATATACACACATACAAAGGATATATCTGTACATGCATACCTAAATGAGACACCACACCCAGCTATGGGGTGTGAGGTAGACGGTGTCAAGAAGTTTTCCTGGAGTCTCTCTGAATGAAGATTAAGAGTTAGCCAGTGGGGTGTTAAAGTCTCCCATTATTAATGTGTGGGAGTCTAAGTCTCTTTGTAGGTCACTGAGGACTTGCTTTATGAATCTGGGTGCTCCTGTATTGGGTGCATAAATATTTAGGATAGTTAGCTCCTCTTGTTGAATTGATCCCTTTACCATTATGTAATGGCCTTCTTTGTCTCTTTTGATCTTTGTTGGTTTAAAGTCTGTTTTATCAGAGACTAGGATTGCAACCCCTGCCTTTTTTTGTTTTCCATTGGCTTGGTAGATCTTCCTCCATCCTTTTATTTTGAGCCTATGTGTGTCTCTGCACGTGAGATGGGTTTCCTGAATACAGCACACTGATGGGTCTTGACTCTTTATCCAACTTGCCAGTCTGTGTCTTTTAATTGTCAACATTAGACAGATCAACGAGACAGAAAGTCAACAAGGATACCCAGGAATTGAACTCAGCTCTGTACCAAGCAGACCTAATAGACATCTACAGAACTCTCCACCCCAAATCAACAGAATATACATTTTTTTCAGCACCACACCACACCTATTCCAAAATTGACCACATAGTTGGAAGTAAAGCTCTCCTCAGCAAATGTAAAAGAACAGAAATTATAACAAACTATCTCTCAGACCACAGTGCAATCAAACTAGAACTCAGGATTAAGAATCTCACTCAAAGCCGCTCAACTACATGGAAACTGAACAACCTGCTCCTGAATGACTACTGGGTACATAACGAAATGAAGGCAGAAATAAAGATGTTCTTTGAAACCAACGAGAACAAAGACACCACATACCAGAATCTCTGGGACACATTCAAAGCAGTGTGTAGAGGGAAATTTATAGCACTAAATGCCTACAAGAGAAAGCAGGAAAGATCCAAAATTGACACCCTAACATCACAATTAAAAGAACTAGAAAAGCAAGAGCAAACACATTCAAAAGCTAGCAGAAGGCAAGAAATAACTAAAATCAGAGCAGAACTGAAGGAAATAGAGACACAAAAAACCCTTCAAAAAATCAATGAATCCAGGAGCTGGTTTTTTGAAAGGATCAACAAAATTGATAGACCGCTAGCAAGACTAATAAAGAAAAAAAGAGAGAAGAATCAAATAGACACAATAAAAAATGATAAAGGGGATATCACCACCGATCCCACAGAAATACAAACTACCATCAGAGAATACTACAAACACCTCTATGCAAATAAACTAGAAAATCTAGAAGAAATGGATACATTCCTTGACACATACACTCTCCCAAGACTAAACCAGGAAGAAGTTGAATCTCTGAATAGACCAATAACAGGCTCTGAAATTGTGGCAATAATCAATAGTTTACCAACCAAAAAGAGTCCAGGACCAGATGGATTCACAGCCGAATTCTACCAGAGGTACAAGGAGGAGCTGGTACCATTCCTTCTGAAACTATTCCAATCAATAGAAAAAGAGGGAATCCTCCCTAACTCATTTTATGAGGCCAGCATCATTCTGATACCAAAGCCAGGCAGAGACACAACCAAAAAAGAGAATTTTAGACCAATATCCTTGATGAACATTGATGCAAAAATCCTCAATAAAATACTGGCAAACCGAATCCAGCAGCACATCAAAAAGCTTATCCACCATGATCAAGTGGGCTTCATCCCTGGGATGCAAGGCTGGTTCAATATACGCAAATCAATAAATGTAATCCAGCATATAAACAGAGCCAAAGACAAAAACCACATGATTATCTCAATAGATGCAGAAAAAGCCTTTGACAAAATTCAACAACCCTTCATGCTAAAAACTCTCAATAAATTAGGTATTGATGGGACGTATTTCAAAATAATAAGAGCTATCTATGACAAACCCACAGCCAATATCATACTGAATGGGCAAAAACTGGAAGCATTCCCTTTGAAAACGGGCACAAGACAGGGATGCCCTCTCTCACCGCTCCTATTCAACATAGTGTTGGAAGTTCTGGCCAGGGCAATCAGGCAGGAGAAGGAAATAAAGGGTATTCAATTAGGAAAAGAGGAAGTCAAATTGTCCCTGTTTGCAGACGACATGATTGTTTATCTAGAAAGCCCCATCGTCTCAGCCCAAAATCTCCTTAAGCTGATAAGCAACTTCAGGAAAGTGTCAGGATACAAAATCAATGTACAAAAATCACAAGCATTCTTATACACCAACAACAGACAAACAGAGAGCCAAATCATGGGTGAACTCCCATTCACAATTGCTTCAAAGAGAATAAAATACCTAGGAATCCAACTTACAAGGGATGTGAAGGACCTCTTCAAGGAGAACTACAAACCACTGCTCAAGGAAATAAAAGAGGACACAAACAATTGGAAGAACATTCCATGCTCATGGGTAGGAAGAATCAATATCGTGAAAATGGCCATACTGCCCAAGGTAATTTACAGATTCAATGCCATCCCCATCAAGCTACCAATGACTTTCTTCACAGAATTGGAAAAAACTACTTTAAAGTTCATATGGAACCAAAAAAGAGCCCGCATTGCCAAGTCAATCCTAAGCCAAAAGAACAAAGCTGGAGGCATCACACTACCTGACTTCAAACTATACTACAAGACTACAGTAACCAAAACAGCATGGTACTGGTACCAAAACAGAGATATAGATCAATGGAACAGAACAGAGCCCTCAGAAATAATGCCGCATATCTACAACTATCTGATCTTTGACAAACCTGAGAAAAACAAGCAATGGGGAAAGGATTCCCTATTTAATAAATGGTGCTGGGAAAACTGGCTAGCCATATGTAGAAAGCTGAAACTGGATCCCTTCCTTACACCTTATACAAAAATCAATTCAAGATGGATTAAAGATTTAAACGTTAAACCTAAAACCATAAAAACCCTAGAAGAAAACCTAGGCATTACCATTCAGGACATAGGCGTGGGCAAGGACTTCATGTCCAAAACACCAAAAGCAATGGCAACAAAAGACAAAATTGACAAATGGGATCTAATTAAACTAAAGAGCTTCTGCACAGCAAAAGAAACTACCATCAGAGTGAACAGGCAACCTACAACATGGGAGAAAATTTTCGCAACCTACTCATCTGACAAAGGGCTAATATCCAGAATCTACAATGAACTCAAACAAATTTACAAGAAAAAAACAAACAACCCCATCAAAAAGTGGGCGAAGGACATGAACAGACACTTCTCAAAAGAAGACATTTATGCAGCCAAAAAACACATGAAAAAATGCTCATCATCACTGGCCATCAGAGAGATGCAAATCAAAACCACTATGAGATATCATCTCACACCAGTTAGAATGGCAATCATTAAAAAGTCAGGAAACAACAGGTGCTGGAGAGGATGCGGAGAAATAGGAACACTTTTACACTGTTGGTGGGACTGTAAACTAGTTCAACCATTGTGGAAGTCAGTGTGGCGATTCCTCAGGGATCTAGAACTAGAAATACCATTTGACCCAGCCATCCCATTACTGGGTATATACCCAAATGAGTATAAATCATGCTGCTATAAAGACACATGCACACGTATGTTTATTGCGGCACTATTCACAATAGCAAAGACTTGGAACCAACCCAAATGTCCAACAATGATAGACTGGATTAAGAAAACGTGGCACATATACACCATGGAATACTATGCAGCCATAAAAAATGATGAGTTCATATCCTTTGTAGGGACATGGATGAAATTGGAAACCATCATTCTCAGTAAACTATCGCAAGAACAAAAAACCAAACACCGCATATTCTCACTCATAGGTGGGAATTGAACAATGAGATCACATGGACACAGGAAGGGGAATATCACACTCTGGGGACTGTGGTGGGGTCGGGGGAGGGGGGAGGGATAGCATTGGGAGATATACCTAATGCTAGATGACACATTAGTGGGTGCAGCGCACCAGCATGGCACATGTATACATATGTAACTAACCTGCACAATATGCACATGTACCCTAAAACTTAGAGTATAATAAAAAAAAAAAAAAAAAAAAGAGCCAAAGCATGAAGAGGAAGCATGTGTGTGAAGGCTGCTCCACGGTGAAGGTTGAAGGAGCCAATCATGGCAGGCATGGAATTGTGAGAAAGCAGTTCACTGTGGCTGTAAAGGAGAGGCCCAGTGGTGAGAGGTGAGGGTGGAGGAGAAGGGAGGAATCAGGTTGGAAAAGACCTGTTATCCCTTAGATCCACCTTATTGTGAATTTAGCTTATTCTCCTTTTCTGGGAGAGCTAGACAATCTGAGAGCCTGGCAGCAATGGGAAGTTTGTGGTGGCATTGGTGTTTTAAAGAGATTTTGTAGCGAATGTTCACAATCCAGGAGGAGGAGTGTAGCTGAGAAATACAGTGAAAAGCACAGGGCAATGGGTATACGGAAGAGGATGTCCACATAGAAAATAATCACAAAATTTAAATGATAATGTATGCAGTTTATCTACTAGTTTTGTTTTACCTTGGGTTTTAAAAAATATGTTATAAACCAGTTCATAATTCATTCTCTTTTATCAGGAAGTATTGTATCAGATTATGGTGTGGTCATTTAATAAAGATTTTTGCCTCTGTATATTATTTTATCATTGTAATTTTGAATAAAATCTGTTCTAATAGGTTTGTGCATTTGAGGCAGTATTGGATTCCTTTTAGGCATTCTTCAAATATGATTTATCATTACCTAAAGAAAATATGGGCCGGTCGCTGTAGCTTACGCCTGTAATCCCAGCACTTTGGGAGGCCAAGGTGGGCAGATCACCTGAGGTCAGGAGTTTGAGACCAGCCTGACCGACATGGTGAAACCCTGTCTCTACTAAAAATACAAACATTAGCTGGGCGGGATGGTGCATGCCTGTAATCCCAGCTATTCGGGAGGCTGAGGCATGAGAATTGCTTGAAGCTGGGAGGTGGAGGTTGCAGTGAGCCGAGATTGTGCCACTGCACTTCAGCCTGGGTGACAGAGTGAGACTCTGTCTCAAAAAAAAAAAAAAAAAACAGAAAAGAAAAGAAAAAATATATATATATATTATAGTGCAGGAACTTTCTGTATTTTCTGATAGTAATATATTGAAGTCTGATTTAGAAACTTAATCCACCATGAAATTAAAAAAGAAAAATCTTAAAAATAAGAATAACCTAATAAAACATCCCACTGAAATATTTTTGGTAGATTATTTTACAGTGGGAATGCATTCTTTCATTTCATGAATTTTGTTTTATTTTTCCCTTTCTTGGGATGGTATCTATTTCTTCATACTACTTTATTATTCAGGGTAAGTTTGTCTATTACCCCGCAAGTGCTTTTAGGGGTTTTGGTGTATCTACTTCATTTATTAAAAAATCACCGTATTGAAGTGTGAATTGCTCAATCAGATTGATATTTGTTATAATGTAGGTAAATAGACTTTTAACAGAAAATCTCCTTTAAAACTGAATTCACCCTAACAACTTTATACACACATTCTATGATATAGCCACACTTGATGAATTTGAAATGGCATAAATTATAGTACATAAAATATACTTGGATGTTGAAAAAGATTTTTAAAAAGAATTTTCTTTTTAGCAGCTTTGACTGAGTGGAATGAATTTAATCTGAATAGAGGAACTACAGGTTAGGTGAAGAACCACTGCACGCTCCTTATTGCTTCTAAATAATGGAAAGTGGTTATAAAAGTTTCTTTGTTCATAGTCTCATCCTTACCTATGGATGGAGGAGTCACTGGGCTGCTTTTTATCACCCAAATGATCTAAGGAAAGGAAAATAGTTACTGTTACTATATAACTTGATTCTCAACTACCATAATTTATCAATGGTCAAAAATGAGCCAGCAGTATATTATTGCTTAAAAAACTAAAAAAGAAAGGAAGTAAAAGTTACAGTGATTTTGTGTTATAATTAGAATTTACAAGTGATGTCTCCTCCATATTATCCACTAATCATAAATTTATGAAACTGCTATATTTACTTTGGATCACTGTTCCTCTGGGAAAAAAACAGGAAGAAACTGTAGAGTCCAGAAAATAATAGTGATGGCTAAAGAAATGGGAAACTATTTTCATTATGTAATTAAGTAGAAACTATTTAGAGAAAAGCAGTTAAGGGATACCTTTGAATCAGAGAATTGTAGAGCTGGTAGCAGCCATGTAACATCTGGTCCCATTCCTTTAACTTGCAGAAATGGTAACTGAGGCCTGAGAAGTCTAAATTGCCCAGGCAGCAAGTAAGATATTTGAGACCAAAGTTCAGGTCTTCCCACCTCCAGCCCATAGTATTTTGGGGCTAGTGTCTTCAAGTGTGTGAAAGATTGCTTCACAGGAAGCAGAAGTCTCTATTAGCAAATACACCATCTTCAAGTGGGAGAGACAGCTTCTATTACCTACAAATCAGCCAGCCCCAGTACCAGCACTGCTGCTCCTTTGCGGGGCTTCCCACACGTGGGGGTGCTTGGGTTCCAGAGGCTTCTGTGAAGAGGTGGCTAGAGCCTCCTGAGAAAACAGTTCACTATTCCTGTCTAGCCAAGCACTCAATGCTTGCTATTTTTATTTTTATTTAAAAATTTCAATGTAGTAAAATATATATAACGTAAATTTTATCATTTTAACCATTTTTAGATGTTCAATTCATTGGCATTATGTACATTCATGATATTATGTAACCATCACCACCGTACATTTCTAGAACTTTTTCATTATTCCAAATAGAAATTCTATACCCAGTAAACAACTCTTCATTCTCCCCTGCCCCATCCTTGGTAACTTGTATTCTGCTTTCTGTTATTATGAATTTGCCTATTCTAGGTACCTCATATAAGTGGAATCATACAATATTACTCAATGTTTGTTTTTATTAAGTTCTTGCTTGTTTAAAAAATTGCGCCTTTACTATATGCTTAACATCGTGCTAGGATTCTATGAGAGACATAGCATGTGGCCTTGGAGAATTTACAATTTAAATGTTTTGTATTCAGTTCTGTATTTCATTTCCCTCCCTACCCCTGCCCGGGATAAACCCAGCCCTTTGCACGTCACGAGCATCAAAAAGAATGTTTGTTCATTTAGACTTTGTTAGGGAGTTTGCACTAACAGATATGAAAGAAATTAAACAGGTGGGTCTATACTAAGCTTTAATATCTCCAGAGAAGGCAACACACACTCCTTCAGTGATTCCTATTCTAATGTCTTAACAGTCCTTAGTCCTCCAATTTTTTATAAATCACCTAACATTTCTTTGCTCCTGCTTTTTTGGAGGGGGGCTTTATTCTAATCCCTAAAGTTTAAACATCCAGATAAGAGTGTTTAAAATCTTGTATTAGTTTTTTTTTTTTCAACATTAGCAAGAAACCCAAATGGCCAAAACTGGTGTCTTTCTCATCTCTTATCTTGGTTCAGTATGTTCAACTTCATCCTGCTGCCAATAAAGCTGTCACATTATTAATTGAGCCTGATGTATTCAGATTCTTTCTCAGTTCAGAGTGCAGGAGTAGCTCATGCTGAAAAGAAGCAAACCGCAGTGTTCAGCCTACATACATAGAATACTGTACCATGTGGGCTGCAGTGAGGAAGCCACTAGATTCTTTGTAAGCCAATGCATTAGCACATATTCAAAAAGCCCACTTTTGGTGTCAGTTAACAAAAAGACTTAAAATTTTAAATCATCATCCAGAAAAAAAAGTAATTAGTAAGCATGTATTAATTTTTGTACCTTTTTTCAGAAATTGGGCAGGTATGAAGAAGGGATTTTTATTTGTTTTTATTCTGGTATTAAGGATGCAGTGTGCTGTAGGTGTTAAAGTGTCAGGTATAAATTAAATGAAAAATAGAACAATGGCCAGTAAAACTGGTCTCAAGTGATTCATGTAAAACCTTTAAATGTCTCCTGTACCTAGATAACCTTCTCCCCAGTATCAGCACTTCTCACACGATTATTGTCCTTGGAGACAGTTTTGTCTCTGTTCATAAAGAGTTTTAGATAGTAAAAGCCAACAAGAAAAAATTTCTGCCAACCAGGATGGATTACCCTTTCAAGTATACTTTTTCTTATCTTGTAAAATAAGCCACTGTACATGGTTTTACAAGTGTGTAGTGCTGAGCTCCCAACTAGCCTGGGTATGGGAATGAGTTTTTAAATACATAGTTACAGAACAGAGAGAAGCAGGAACACACAAAATAAAAGGGAAAACTGTATATCTGGTTTTTGTTTTAAAATGTCATGACTTGACCAAGGGCTGCAGTAGAAATCTTCAACTTTCTTCCAAATGAAATTTTTTGACTTGTGCATTTCTCTATAAAATATTTGCTTTTGGATGGGACACTTTTCTACCCAGGCATGATCTATTTCAGCCATATTTTCAATGACCACCCCTTAGGTTTTTAATGTTTAACTTATTTCAGTACAAACATCCATGGAGAAAAGTGCACACATCCTAAGTGTACAGCCCGATGGATCTCAGCTCACTGAACGTGCCCATGCCCATCTAAACAGTGACTTGAGCCTCCATCAAGAACCATGATATTAACTCCAAGTCCTCTTGTGCCTGCTCCAGCCACCACTTCCCAATAGGATAAAAAGACTTGTGGCTATTTTTGAACTTTATGTACATAAAGTCATACTAAATGTGTTTTTTCATATCTGATTTCTTTTACTCAACATTATGTTTGGGAAATTCATTAATTTCTTCACTTTTATGCTTCCTCCTTCATTTTTATGCTTCTCACTTTTTTCTTCTCTCTTCTCTGATAAACAAACACTTGGATTTTATCTGTCACCTACTTGATTCGGTCATGACACTCATGGCATATACATAGTATAGAGTGACTCGAAGCCATGTCCTCATCGTGGCTTTGATGGCTGAGGTTGTCCTTGATCTATCTCCTCTGCAGTTATCTGGGGAGAACTGAAAGCTAAGAAGAGAAAGGAGGAAAAGACATGGTCAGCTCTCCTCTGCCTTGTGGCATCTTTTCCTTCAACACTCCCCTTTTCAGGTCAGGCATAGTGGCTCACGCCTGTAATCCCAGCTACTCGGGAGGCTAAGGCAGGAGAATCACTTGAGCTCAGGAGTTTGAGAACAGCCTGGGCAACATAGTGAGACCCTGTCTCAAATAAAAACCCAAGCAAACAACAAGAAAACCTCCAAACCAGTGCCTAACACTCTCCTTTTTACTATAACCCAACCTCTCAAGTGGGAGGAGTTTGTAGATACCAGCTGCACCGGCTATGTCAAACTCCATGGCAACTTTTCCCAAGCAAGAGAGAGGGAGAAGTAGAGGAGGGAATTCTGGAACAGATTACTAGCTTTCATAAATGGATAATTTGCTTAGGTGATAATTTGTTCTTGATTTTCCCCCCTCTTCTGGTGAGTTTGACCATATTAATAGTTTATGAAATATATCACTAAATTTAACTTTAGCAACGTGTTATATGGTTTGAGAGAGAAAGAAAGAGAGAGAAAGCGATTTCAACTGCATAGGCACATAGTATAGATGAAGCAGTCCAAGGGCTCTGATCAATTCAAGTTTGGGCAATTTTATGAAGATTTCTTTATTCCAAGACAATTTGTGGTACACAGTTGATGTTAGTAGCTCTGTAGTTTTTGTGAAATACTAGTCAAATTCATTATTTTCATGCACTATTCAAAAGCTAATAGCTCTCTGAATTTGTCAACTTCAATTCCTAATGCAGTATCAAGAAAATTAATAGGATGTCTAACCACTCTTTCAACATACTCTTCTGGCCTTAAAGGTGAAGAATATTTATCGGAATGCAGTCAACTTAGATTTTTAAGTTATAGTCAAAGCGGTTATGAAAGAAAGTATTTATAAGAGAAATATGCATTCTTTTCTGAATACTTCTTTGTATGTTACAATTGACATTTGCAGCACTGGGAAAAATTTTAGACTGAAGCTGGATATTGGAGGAAGTGGGAGGAAACAGTTATGGCTGTTGTGATTTTAGATGCTACGGAAGATATAGAGCTTCCTGTAACTGCAGTGACAGCAGGAAGGGGAGTCAGGGTGGTGGAGTATGGACTAGGGGCTGGCGAATCCTCTGGAAAGTTTCCTCTTAGGCTACTTGACGCTGGTTATCTTTCTGGGAAAGTCACTCTAGACATGATGGCTCATTCAGAGAGGCCCCTTCCGTGCTCCTCTTCGTGGAGTATGAGAACTATTCTGACTTACAACATAAAATGTTGAAAAACCTGTATATACAGGCACTAAAAATTCCCCAAACCCAACATATAAAGGACATAGGGAATCAGAAACTTCTTTCTAAAGGACTTAAGAGTAGAAGATGTGTAGAAAATTTGACTTTAGGTATTTTGGGACAGACACTGATTAAGGGCAACTTGATCTGCATGATGAATTTCAAGTAGGACTGGGGCTTCATCAGTCATGTATCCACAATAGTCATATAGGAAATTCGTATGGACTTGAATTACTAGCTGAAACTCTTCCCCAAAGTGTCTTTGTTTAAAGGAGAGAAAAACCACTGTTCACTAAGTGTCCCAGCCAGATTACTCTGTCACTTGCTACAGCATCTCAGTGTCTGGAATTCCACATGGCTTCTTACTGTATTTTAGAGACTTCCTGCTTGTAGTAAACCACTTCCTTTGCGAGTACGTCTGCTACTGTACTTGTCTGCTACTGTACTCGCAGCGTTCCAGACCCTCACTGTCACTTTGTTACCCTACAACTATATTCAATTTAACAAAAAGGGACCCTCAGAGCTGGGAAGGGACCATCTGGACCAGCTAGTCCAGGAAGCTCAGGGTGTGTTCCTAACAGTGTCCAAAGCAGACTCCATAGAGTTGGGCTTGGAGAAGGGGTGAGTCAAACTGGGGTGCTCAATGCCTCTACCAGCTTTCACCCTGCTCTGCTCCAAACAAAACAGAAAAGGGCTTGAAACTCAATGACCTAGTCCAATCCCTTCCTTTTTCAGATGAGAAAACTGGGGCCTGAAAAGCTGCTTTTCTAGATACAAAGCACATGAGAGTGATAACGATGTAACTGCTCTAGAAATTGATATTACCTGGTTAACTGAACCTCTAGTCTCACTGTGGAAGAGAGAGGTAAAAGGTAACACAACTTTGTAAAGCTTTGGTTTCATTTAGAGACTTTAACCTACCTAGAATGTGCTTGCCACCTCTTTTGATTCTCTTCATTATCGGAACACAGCTTTGGAGAGTTGTGCATGCTGTTGCAGGATTTTTTTTTTTTTTTTAAGAGACAGTTTTGCTTTGTCACTCAGGATGAAGTGCTGTGATGCCATCACAGCTCATTGCATCCTCCAACTTCTGAGCTGAAGCCATCCTCCAGCTTCACAGCCTCAGCCTCCCATGCAGCTGGCTCTACAGGCATGCACCACCATGTTTAGCTAATTACAATTTTTTTTTTTTTAAGAGGTGGGTTCTCTCTATGTTGCCCAAACTGGTCTCAAACTTTTGGCCTCAAACAATCATATTGCTTCAGCCTCCCAAAATGTTGGGATTACAGATTTGAGCCACTGTACTTGGCCAGGAAAGAATTTAATGGCAACTTTCATCTAGTGCTTCTCATGGCAGTGTTAGGCTGAACACTGGATACTATGGTGAAGACTGTTAGTTACTTTAAGCTTAACTTTAGTGCACAGCTCTCCTTTTACATGCCGTAAAGAAAACCATGATGAAATGATATACATGCCTAATCGACACCACACAGTTCCTGGATGACTTGTGATGATGCTGGAGGTCTTTGCTTTCACTCCTCCACCTGGCTAAGCCCATCTCTCCCTTAGACCCTCTGTCTAAAACTCTAGACTCTTGTCGGCATTCCCCACTTGACATTTCCACTTGCTTGTCTGATAAACATCTCCAACTCAACAGGAACGAAAGTCAATTTCTAATCTTTTGTTCTAAGACTGTTCTCCCTGAGCATTTTTCATTTTGGTTCCTGGCAATTCTATCCTTCCAAATATCCTATCTATTCTATACTCAGGTAAAAATCCTTGGAGTCATTTTTGCCTTTTCTCTTTCTCTCACATTTTCTCTCTACTCTGAGCTAATCCTGAATTTGACCAGTTCTTGCTACTGCCACTGTCACCACCTTGGGCAGAGTTATATCATTTATCTCCTGACTTGCTTCAGAGGCTTCCTAAGTTGCCTTTCTACTTCTGCCTTTGCATCCCACTTTCAGTCTATTTTTAGAAAAGTAGAGGGATCTTTAAGTTAAGTCAGATCATGTCATCTTCTTGTCAAAACCATCCAGTGGCTCCCCATGTCATCCAGAGAGAAACTAGAATCCTACAGGGTCCTATGTGATCTATCTTCTATTCTCTGCCCCTTTCCATGTCCCATCTGTCCATGGCCCACCACAACTCCCTCTCTGACTTCATCTTTACTACTCTTGTTCCTGGTCACTCACTGCTCTCCAGCCACATAAGCCTCTGGGCTGAGCTTCCAATTCCCTTGGCACACTTGTGTCTTACAGCATTTGCTCTGGTGGTTCCCTCTAGCCAGATTTTGAACCTCCCACACCTTCAGGACTTTGCTTAAATGTCACTTTCTCAATAGTCATCCCAATGAAAATGGATAAATGATTGCCACTCCACACATCATCCCATGCCTCCAGTTTTTGCGTGTGGATCTCATAGAAATATTTCTAGATATGGACTAGCTGAGTTCAAGTTATACACATTTAAAATGTTGCTGGCTCTTGCCAAACTACCATCCAGAGAGTCTTTACCAGTTTACATTTTCACCAAGAGCACATTAATTTCCTTACTCCAAACCCTTAATCATACTCTGAATTATCATTTAAAGCCATATTTGCCAATCCCATAGTCAAAGAATAATAAATTATTATTGTTTTAATTGTAGATGCCTTAGATTACTGTTGAGGATGATCATCTTTTTACATCTTTATTCATAATTTGTAATTTGTGCTTCTATAAATTATCACTTGTCTATTTTTCTTTTTTAAAATTGTCAAATTATTAAAGCTCTTTAAGAATTAACCATTTGTTAGTATTGCACATTGTACCTGGTTTACCTTTTATCTTTTTTATGGTGATTTCCTGATTATGCAAAAGTTTTAGATATTTAGATGTCAACTAGGTCAATCTTTTCTTCCTTTTTTTTTGAGACAGAGTCTCACTCTGTTGTCCAGGCTAAAGTGCAGTGGTGCTATCTCGGTTCACTGCAACCTCCACCTCCCAGTTCAAGTGAACCTTGAACGCCTCAGCCTCCCAAGTATCTGGGATTACAAGTGTGTGCCACCACGCCCAGCTAATTTTTGTATTTTTAGTAGAGATGGGGTTTCACCATGTTGGCCAGGCTGGTCTTGAACTCCTGGCCTCAAGTGATTCACCCACCTCAGCCTCCCAAAATGCTGGGATTACAGGTGTGAGCCACTGTGCCTGGCCTTAACCTTTTCTTATGTGGGATCTAGTTTTCTTGTCTTGCTTAGAAAAGTGTCTGCAGTCCCACATATGAATAGTCACTCATATTTTATTCTAAGATGTTTATGATTTTATCAGTACATTAACATACAGAATTTGCAGTTTATTTAGATTTAGTATGCCTGATTGATTAGAAAAATGGCTACAATTCTGCACGCTTTTGAGTATGAACCCCCATTTGCAATGTGACTTTGCTGTTCTGTTCATCAGGAGGTGGAGTTTGTTTTCCTACCTCTTAAATCTGGGCTGGCCTTGTGACTTGCTTTGACCAATCAAATGTAGTGAGAATGATATTCTGTTAGTCCCAAGACTAGACCTTCAAAGGCCCTTCATGCTCTGCTTGCTCTCTCAGAACCTTACAGTGCCATAGGAATAAGCCTGCTAGGCAGCAAGAGGCATATGACCCTGCTACTCTCATCATTTAGCTGACAGCAAGCCAACTTTTGGAGACATGAGTGAGGCCATCTTAGACCAGCTGGCCCTCAGCCAAGAAGTCAGCTGGACAGTAACTGATGGCAGACCCGTGATGAGCCTGGCCAAGTTCAGAGGAGGTTCTCTGCTGAGTCTAGGCCAAACTGATGACCCATAGAAAAGTAAACTAGACAAATGGTGGTGTTTTTATGCTCTGAGGCTTGCTTTATTATGAAGTAGAAGTTAACTGGTATCTGAAGTAGGGAATTTCATTTATTTATCCAAGGGTTAGTCTGTGGTCTAACATCACTACTACATACATAGTTCATCTTTTCTCCATTGATTCAAAATGTTGCTTTTATTTCAAATATATTGATTTGTCTGTCGCTTGTGGTATGGCCTCGCTCAATGATATGTTTCAGTATCTGGAAGGACAAGTCTCATTTCATTACTCTTTTCTCCTACAGTCTTAGCTACTCTTACATTTTTATTCTTCCAGATGAACTTGATATTATTTTTTCAAAAAGGGAATGCTGGGTTTTTGATTGGGGTAGTATTAAACATATAATTGAAAAAATATTGACATTTAAAAAATATTGAACCATTTCATCTAGAAACACAATATTTTGAATCATGTTTTAAGTCACATTTTATATAATTCAGAAGAATTTTTATAGTTTTTCTCATGTGGCTTTCTCACATTTCTTATAACATAGTTTATATAAAAATGGATTTTTAAATTTATATTTTATTATTATTTTTGATATTTTGAAAAACCATTAACTTTAGTATATTAATATTGTAACTGACTACCTTACTGAGCTCTCTAATTGTTTTTAGAAAATATTTAATGTTGATATTTTTAGCTATACACATCATATCATTGCAAATAATGACAATTGTTCCAGGGTTTTTTTGTTTTTTTTTTTTATCAGCTCCTGTACAAGGGTGGGGGTGGAAATGTGATTCCTGTGCACATGGGAGGTGAGAAAGGAGAGGAGAGCTCTGCAGCAAGTGCAGAGGAAAGGGTCATACTATTAGTTGGCTTGGTGGATGGTGCATTGCTCAAAACCAGGCAACATCTATTGCTGGGGTTCAGATGTGTCTTTGGGGAAGTCTTCTGTACTAGCAGGCTGGCTACAACTGAAGCCCTATGTCTGCTAGAGGCTGAGAAACCTCTTTGGCATGGAGCTAACAGAGTGTAGCCTCCAACAGGAAAGAGGCTCTCCCCACTTGCTGAGGGAATGCAACATGTCATCCGCATGCTGAGGATTCCAGAGATTGTAGAGCAACTTAGA
Source organism: Homo sapiens (assembly GCF_000001405.40). NCBI lineage: Eukaryota > Metazoa > Chordata > Mammalia > Primates > Hominidae > Homo > Homo sapiens. The sequence continues at coordinate 54,441,727 of NC_000018.10, forward strand.
CTTCTTCAGGGCTCCAGAGCAGCAGCATGGTGGACAGTGTGCTTCTCAGCAGCGTGGGCTGCCAGGCCTGGAAAATGGGATAGTACCTGGCAGAAGAAGCACTGGTTGCAGGCATAATCATGATACCTAGTGGCAGCAGCAGGGGCTGGAGGATGCAGATCTCCCTGGAAGAAATGGTACAGGTGCTTGTCATGAAGCAGCTCCCAGTGGGCATGGCAGCACTTTATGGCACCAGAGATGGTGGCTGGGGGACTTCATGTGATACCTAACTGAGCTTGCCTGTGTGAGTCCATTTGAGGCAGCCCTTGGGTATTCTAAAAAGTATACAAGGGGACTTTGAAGGGTTTAGGGACCTGTGTGGCAGGCAAGGGTAAGAGCCAGCAAAATATGGGGAATGACTATTCCTATAATCCTCTGTACCCATGAGTGAAGGTGTGCCCTAAGCAACATGGGTTACCAAGTGAGGGGATTATTCCCAAATTGGCCATCAGAGCACTAGAAGAACAAGACCATTTGCTACCGCCTGTAGGGTTATCTCTTCATTTCAAAGTTGTTTTAGTAGGACAAACACACATACACACACACACTCATACACACACAGAGAAGTAATCTGGGACACAGGGGGTTAAAGAATATTGAACAGGTTTTCTTTCTTACATAGACCCTGTCATACAGGCATACAGGGTCTCTGGTATCCTGACTCATTCAAGTCGTGGACATTTGGCTAGAGACTGAGAACCTGTAAGCCATGAAAATTACGCCATGGCTGGTTCAGGTTCTAGGGCTGTAAAAATGACAGTAAGACAGGGCTTAAGTAACTTTCACTTTGGTTTTCTAGTGCATTGCTTTCCTCCCTTTCTCCTTCCTTCCTTTCCTACATTTCTTTCTTCCTTCCTTCCTGGCTTGCATCACCTCCAAATAATTTGAAAACCTATATATTTCCTCTTACATTTATATTTTACATAGAAATATTAAAAATTGTAAACAAATAATTGCAAATGACACGGTTATCAGATTATTTCATATTACATCTGTGCTTCAAATAAATTTTTTGGAGTTACAGAAGGAAGCTACAAGGAAGGCAGGCATGCAGGAAGGAAGGAAGGAAGACAGGAAGACAATGCATTAGAAAACTAAGTGAAAGTTACCTGTTATCTCTTCATAGAATGTGCCCACCACATAATTAATTGACAAAACCATTCCTCATCGTCAACCCAAACAGCCAAATTAAGCTTTCTTTCTGACAAAAAGTGGCTTCCTTGATGTTTTAAAATTCCATTCAAATGCATTCCTGGGATAACCATCCCACTTCTCAACTCTCATCCTAAAATAGAGGGAAGAAGAGAGAGTACAAGGAATGGGAATACAAACAGGCTGGGAGACTAACCTGAGTTTGTCATTTGGGTGCAATAAGACTTTGCCCCTCCATATTTTCTATTTCACTGGCTTCGATTGCCCTCACAGAGCTCTTCCTCAGGGGTCATCCTTTTTCAAATTGCCCATGGTTTTAGTGACCTGGAGGTCTTTCTGGCCTGAGGTGATGCTCCACAGTAAAACTGGGGAAGGCCATGCCATTCTTCTGTGAGGAGGGAGAGGAGGATTGTAACAGGGGCGGTGACGGAGGGGACCCTGCCTCACCATCAGAGGCTGTGCCGGGACAATCACTTTTAAGAAAAGACACGGATGTCGAGGACCCAGACCTTGATTCCTTCCACAGTGTCCAGCCCATGTATTCCCCTCACAGCCTTTGTGTGCACCAGAATCTTATGTCAATTAAAAGACTGATAGGGAACTAGCAAGAATGTAATGGAAAGGAGACAGCTCTGATTAAGTCATGGGCAGTGCAGAGGGCCTTCGTTCTTCCCCCGGGAGGCACTCCTAAATTCAAAGCCCAATTTTGGTGTCTCAGCAGCCCACAGGGAAAGAGATCTGCCACGTGAGGAGCCTACAGCCGGAGCTCATTTATCTCATCTATTTGTGCCATTTTAAGTGTTGGTCGGCCGGTCAATCGGTCGGACACACATCATCACCTGGAAGTTCATCCTTTTACAAAAGAAGGAAGTTCTCGTTGTGCCTGGGTTGCATTCTTCTGCCTGATCCTTCTCTCTGTGCTATTGGGTCTCCCTTACTACCCCAGCCCCCAGGTTTCAGTAAAGAGGCCAGTCTTCACCTACCACAACCCACCCTTGCTAAGCCACTGGCCTCAAGGAGAAAAGTAATCCTCCCCAAGTGCAGTGTCTCCCAGGTAATCTCTTGCCCACATTACACAGAGCCTCTGTGAGTCTTCTCACCTCAGACAGCGAGTCCTTCTCTGGATGTTCCCTGAGCTTTTTCCAATCATAACACTTAGAATGTTGACTTATGCTGACTTTTCTCCCTAAGTCATCAAGATGTTTTATTTCTCCTGCAGAATGGAAACTCTTTGGAGGTGGAGATTTTATTTTTCCTTTTTATTCATTTTTGTTCCCTCTGCAGCATCAAGAATGGGGTGTCGCACATAGTAGGTGTTCAACAAATATTGGTTGAATTAATAAACTTAGAGGTGACATAATATACACATAAAATAGGAGATGCAACTCAGGCCCCAAGTACAAATTCATATAAAGACAAATATTTACAACGGACGTTTTAAACAGTTATAATGGATGTTATTGGCTCCATGTTATTGACAAAGAATTTCATGGAATCCAAGTGGATGGCCTCGCGTTTTGATGACATTTTGTGGTTAGGATATCAAGCCTGTAACCAGGTCTGAAACTGAAGCCACCCTGTCTCTGGGCGTCAGGTGGCGCTCATACACCACCAGAGAAGTTTTTGCAACTCAGACTGAAGTTTCTGTTTTACAAATGGGATAGCTGTGGCTCTCAGGGAAATTCTGTAAAAAAATAGATTTCCTGTGGACTACTGGGCCATAGCTCTAGTCTCCAAAGGGGAATTTAATACACATGCATGAAAACCTTATTATAAAGCACCAAGCTTTATAATAGCTGTATTGAAGGGCAAATCCTCTTTCTGTGAACACAGACACTCTTTTCTTGCTTGGTCTTTGTGCTTTTTAAATAGCTTCCTTACAAAGAAAGAAAGACTAAAGGAAAGAGCAGGGAAAGAAAGCTAAAGAAGCAGAGTATTTTAGACTGGAGAGTTACCGATAATCTACAAAGAAATCCAGGGCACAAGCCTGTGAGTTTGGACAAATTACTTACTCTGGGTTTTTCACACAGGAATGAGGACACTTGATTCAGTGTTTTCTGATCTTTAAAGGGAGGTGAATTTTTACACTGTACTGTCAACTCTCATCTCTTTGCTGTGCAAGTATGATTGTGCCTTGATCCCTCTCCTCCTGCCTTCTCTCCTCTCTTATTTCTTGTGTCTAAAGGGGGAGATTAGGGGTAGTTTATCAATCTGCAGGAAGCAAATGGTTAAAGAGAAACAACAGGCTTGGCGATTTACCAATGATAAGACCCTGAGTTAGTGTCCTCCTTAAGCCTCAATTTACTTATCGGTAAGATAGGGTTAAAAATACCTATTTGGAAAGGTTGTTTTTGTAAGTATTGAACAAAATAATAAGTATACGATGAATCCTTTGCTTTCTTCTACCTTTGAATAGACAACAAATGCAGACGAAGGCTAAGAATTTGAGTCTACAAACTTCGTGGATTCATTTTCAGTCTTATGATTTCCAAGGCATCATATCTGTTTTGCTTCAGTTGAGCTGACTCTTTGGGACATGATTGTCTATCCATTCATTCAGGTATGGAACAAATATTCATTGAGCACCTACTATGCTCCAGGTATTATACTAGGTACTAATAAGAATAAGTCAACAAGAACGAAATCCTTGACCTCATGGAATGCATGTTTTGTAGCAGAAATAAGCAATAAATGAGTACACAGACATATAATATGTAATTACAAATATTTGCTATGAGGGAAATAAACAGGTGCCATGGTTTTTTAAAAAAGTAACAGTGAGTGGAGGAATACCTCAGATACGATGGCCAGAGAAAGCCTCTCTGTGGGAGGTCAAATCAAAATACAGTGGAAGTGGAGATAAAGTGAACCCTTCCCTGTGGAGTAGGTTGTGAAGCAGACCATGATCTGCTGAAAGATCTTTCTTTTATCATTCTTTTATTTTATTTCATTTTACTTTAAGCTCTGGGATACACGTGCAGAATGTGCAGGCTTGTTACATAGGTATACATGTGCCATGGTGGTTTGCTGTACCTATCAACCCGTCATCTAGGTTTTAAGCCCCACATGCATTAGGTACTTGACCTAATGCTCTCCCTCCCCTTGTCCCCAACCCCCCGACAGGCCCTGGCCCTGGTGTTTGATGTTCCCCTCCCTGTGTCCATGTGTTCTCGTTGTTCAACTCCCACTTCTGAGTGAGAACACGCGGTGTTTGGTTTTCTCTTCATCATTCTTAAATTGCAAATGCAACTATATTTATAACAATGTAATGATACCATCCATTTTTCAGTTTATATTAGCATATTTCTTTGGGAGATTCTATCAAATTTGTCTTCTTAGCCTAACACTTTTTATTCGGCCTGGCCCAGAGTAGGTGCTCAATAAATGCTTGTTAAATGAATAAATAGTTACAACAATCCCCTAATGTAGGCAAGGCAGATACCCTAATGTAAGCAAGGCAGATATTATTGACCCATTGCAGAAATATTAAATCTCTGAATTATAGGGACAAGTCATATGGTTCACAAGGGAGTGGAGTGAGAACAAGATTTTTGATTTTTTTTGAAAAATGTTTACTCCAGTGTTCTTTTATTTTCATCTTTGGAACCAAAGTCTCATCCTTATGTTTGTGGGAGTTCTCTTTCCTATATAAGAATTTCTGGGTGAGATACAGTGTAAATATCTGACAGAAAGTCTGTGCAATCTTGAACAGAATGAATTGTTTTTAAGTAACACTGGCATTAATCTGAGTGGGGTGATCCACACCACTTACACTCCACCCATAACATTCTGGACAGGCTTATACCTGCCTATTGCTGATTGTTGGCCATGTTTCACAAACCAATGATTAGCTCCAAAATCGTAATGCTTCTATGAGTTGCTATTGAAGAATGGCTCCAATATTCCTGAGGAAGATGTAGTGGCAGCATCATACATAGTGTAGAAAATCAATCAATTTTAGCAGTGAAGGATGGATTCCTTCACATTCCTGTCTATATTCACCTCTCCTTTGTAAACATTTTTTTTTTGGTATGAGGTAAAGTTCAGAGAGATCTGATGTGTTGGAAGATTAAATAGGTAACTACCGAGATGCTTGAATAGAACTATTTGAAGAGAAGATCTCTGGCCAGGAAAAAAAACCTCTCCTGAGCATTTAGAATGCTACCCTAGTGACTTTGTTTCCTCCTTTCGGTGGGATCTTTGTCTTGCAGCCTTTCTTGAAATACAAAATTTGTTAATCAGTCACTGTGCTAGGCTCTGGGAGAGATGCAAAGAAAAATATGTTTCTTCCAAGAAATTTATTCATTCATTTATTCCAGAGTATTTCTTGAACAACACCCTCTATGTCAGAGACTGGACTAGGCTTTAGGGGAGCTAAATAGCTAACATATTTTGAGTGCTTACTATGGGCAGGCACTGACTGTTCAAAGTGTGTTTCATGTGTTAACACATAGTCTCACAATCTCCCTTTATAAACCAGAAAGTGAGGTCCTTTTTCTCCACAATCTCACCAGCATCTGTTGTTTCTTGACTTTTTAATAATTGCCGTTCTGACTGGTGTGAAATGGTATCTCATTGTGGTTTTGGTTTGCATTTTTCTGATGATCATGTTGAGCTTTTTTTCACGTTTGTTGGCTGTGTTAATGTCTTCTTTTGAGAAGTGTCTGTTCATGTCCATTGCCCACTTTTTAATGGGGTTGTTTGTTTCTTGGAAATTTGTTTCAGTTCCTTGTGGATTCTGGATATTAGACCTTTGTCAGATGGATAGATTGCAAAATTTTTTCCCAATTTGTAGGTTGCCTGTTCACTCTGATGATAGTTTCTTTTGCTGTGTAGAAGCTCTTTAATTTAATTAGACCCCATTTGTCAATTTTTGCTTTTGTTGCAATTGCTTTTGGCGATTAGGTCATGAAATTTTTGCCCATGCCTATGTCCTGAATGGTATTGGCTAGATTTTCTTCTAGAGTTTTTATAATTTTGGGTTTTACATTTAAGTTTTTAATCTATTATGAGTTAATTTTTGTTTAAGGTATAAGGAAGGTGTCCAGTTTCAACTTTCTGCATATGGCTAGCCAGTTCTCCCAGCACCATTTATTAAATAGGGAATCCTTTCCCCATTGCTTGTTTTTGTCAGCTTTTTCAAAGATCAGAAGGTTGTAGATGTGCGGTCTTATTTCTGAGTTCTCTATTCTGTTTCATTTGTCTATGTGTTTGTTTTTGTACCAGTACCATGCTGTTTTGGTTACTGCAGTGTTGTAGTATAGTTTAAAGTCTGGTAGCATGATGCCTCCAACTTTGTTCTCTTTGAATAGGATTGTCTTGGCTATATGAGCTTTTTTGCTTCCATACAAATTTTAAAACAGTTTCTTCTAATTGTGTGAAGAATGTCAATAGTAGTTTAATGGGAATAGCATTGAATCTATAAATTAATTTGGGCAATATGGCTATTTCATGATATTGATTCTTCCTATCCATGAGCATGGAATGTTTTTCCATTTGTCTGTGTCCTCTCCAATTGCTTTGAGGTGTGGTTTGTAGTTCTCCTTGAAGAGGTCCTTCACTTCCCTTGTTAGCTGTATTCCTAGGTATTTTATTCTCTTTGTAGCAATTGTGAATGGGTATCTCCACTTTTTTCTAGGTTTCAATTGTTATTGAAACTCATAGCTGAGGGTGAATTATTTTTGACATTACATTGAATACTGTGATTTTAAATCTAAAATTTAATAATATGAATATTACTACTATTACTACTACTACACATAGCTAACACTTGTCAAGAACTTACTATATTGCCAGGCACTATTCTAAGTTCTTTACATAAATTGACTCATGCATTGAAAACATCAATTACCATCAATGTGCAGAGTAGTAATTTATATCTTCCCATGAAGTCAGGCTTCTAATGAATGCAGATGTCTCTTGTCTTCCCCTTGGGTTGTTTTTGGGACATAAAGTACAGGTATTATAGTTGTTATGGGTTAAATAGTGTCCCCTCAAAATGTTTACATTGAAGTCCTAGCTCCCAGTACCTGAGAATGTAACCTTATTTGGAAATAGAGTAGTTGCAGAGAGAATTAGTTAAGATGAGATCAGACTTGAGTGGGGAGAGGGCAGTTAATTCAATATGACTGTGTCTTTATAAAAAGGGGACATTTGGACACAGGCACACAGGGAGAACATCATGTGAACATGAAAGCAGAGATAGGGTGATGTTTCCATAAGGCAAGGAACGCCAGTGGCCAGCTAACCATGGGAAGCTAGGGCAGAGGCATGGAACAGATTCTTCCTCATGGCCCTCAGAGAAAACCGTTTCTTCTGACACCTTGTCTTGAACTTCCAGCCTCCGGAACTGCGAGACAATAAATTTCATTTGTATGAGCTACTTAGTTTGTGGTAATTTGTTCTGGAAGACCTAGCAAAATAATACAATAGCTTACAAAATGTAGATGACTAGCAAAATATACAAAATATACTAGATAAGCAATTCCTTGAATTACTTATTTTTGATGACCCAAGTCTTACTTAGCACATAAATGACTGAGAAATAAATTAATGAATATTACTTTAGTAAAGGCAACAAAATAACAGCATCACGATGGGCTTTAAAATGGCAGGGGAAACAGCTATGAGTATGCAGCTAGAACTACCTGCTGTTAGGGAGGGAACTATTCCTGTCATGAAAAAATTTAAAGTACATGCTATTGGCTTCGCATATGATTGCAAATGTCAAAATTCCATTAATTTGATTTTTAAAGTTTAAGGTATTCTGCCATTTGGTTACCCAGTATATGAATAGAATGACATTTATTCTACTTGGCTCTCTGTAAGCTACACATGCACATTTGTTTGAAGGGTATCATTTATCCCTTTAATGAGTATTTTGGGATCACACCATGTTGGATTAAATAGGATGTGTGATCAGAAGGAAAAGAACATACTCTGAAACTTTAGACTCTAATGGAAGACAGACCTAACGAACACGAATGTCTTAAGTTACAATGAAAAACAGTGTGGGATTAAGTGGCAATGAGTGACACAGACAAGACAGTACATCTATAGACTTCAGAGAATGGAGAGAAAGAGCAGATAAGGCCTTGTGAAGGAGGTAAAATTCTGTTTAGACTTTGCAGGGAGGGGAAAAGAAGGGCCTTTTAGATGAGTGGAGGGAAACTGTGACCCAAAGCAGGAATGAATAAGGTCTGTATTTTGAGGAAAAGTAATGATTTTCTCTTAGCTGGAGTGGGAAATTTTTTTAAAAGGCTATATATTCAGCACCTACTATATGCCAGGTGTTCTACCAAGTATTATTTAACTTAATTCATAAAATAGCCTTGGAAATTAGCTGTTATTAACTCCATTTCCAAATGGGGAAATCCTGGCTAAGAAAGGATAAGTCACTTGCCCACGGTCATATGCTGGCCAGTGGTAGAGTAGATGCTTAACCTCACATCTGTCCCATGTCCCTCACATGGGTTTGTGTGCTGACCCATCTCCTCCTATCTCAATTTTTCCAAGTTTAGATATAATCCAAGTGGACATACACGTCCAAGGAAGATTTCTCTTCCTTCAGTCTATTTAGGGAAAGGTGGGTTTATACTTTTATTTTCCTGAGCTATTTCTTGGTGTCACACGTTCCTATCTCTGGGAACATGAGACCCAGATTGGCTCTGGGTCTCTGCTTGTTTCATAGGTGACCGCTGCGTGGACCCTATGGCCATTGTCCTCATGATATGATGCCGCTACTATAATGTTGGCATCAGTGACATGGTGATGTTGAGAAGGACACAGTATCTTTTACTACTCTGTTGTGTAATTCTGTACCACACCACCAATACAAAAAATTACTGAGGGAATTAACTGGAGGTTATATTCATTAGGATATAGGTTTAGCTATGGAAACAGAGAACCAACATTTGTAATGGGTTAAATAAAGTGGAAGTTTGTTTCTCTGCCATATAAGAGTCTGAGCTGTTATGGTGGTGCTTCTTCATGACAGGGACAGAGAAACTTCCACCTTGTTGTTCTACTACTGCAAGGCAGCTGCATGCAAGATCCAAGATGGTACACCATTGTGTCTATATCCTATTAAGGTCTTTCTAAGGACATGGCCTGGAAGTTGCGCACAGTGCTTTCACAATCAACCTACTGGCCACAACTTAGTCACTTGGCCCCATCCAGCTGCAAGGGAGGCTGCTGTCTATATTCTGGGTGGCCAAGAAGCCAGGTAGAGCTCAAAGGCTCCCTGACTATGGAAAGAGGAGAATGAATATTGGGGGATAGTTAGCAATCACTGCTATAGAAGGAATTCTAAAAACAGAGAAAACTATGAGACTTAGATGACAAATATGGCCATCTCCAGAGTCTAGTAAAAGAGATAAAATTATTTAAATCCATTTGTGAAGATATTCTATCCTATAAAAGACATTGTTCAGTTACAGTATTTCCTATTTCAGATGTGCCTTTTTCTTTTAGAGAGAGATGAAAAGATAGAGGATGGGGTTGGGGGGAAAGAGAGAGAGAGAGAGAGAGAGAGAGAGAGAGAGAGAGACAGACAGACATCCAAAGGTACATCTTCAGTCTTTTTTTTTTTTTTTTTTTTTTTTTGAGAGAGAGAGAAGATCTTGCTCTCTCACCCAGGCTGGAGTACAGTGGTGCAATCATAGCACCTTGATCTCCCAGGCTCAAGCAATCCTCCTGCTTCAGCTTGCCAAGTAGCTGGGACCACAGGTGTGCACAGCCATGCCTGGCTAAGTTTTATTTTTATTTTTTGTAGAGACAGGATCTCATGTTGTCCAGGCTGCTCTCGTGCTCTCAGGCTCAAGCATTCCTCCCATCTTGGCCACCAAATGTTGGGATTACAGGCATAAGCCACCAAGTTTAGTCTCATCTCTAGTCTTTTAAAGGAAACTATATCCTCTTCTCACTCTTGGATCTCTCCCCGAGAACTATTCTTAGACACAGTAACATGCAGCTGCACCTTTGAAAATTCTGAGTTATCCTATCTACAGCTGGCCACAAGAGACATAAAGCAGAAAACCCCAGGGTCACCTCTGGTTGATGTAAAGTTATGTTGCTTCATTCTCTTGTGTACCATGTGGGTGGTTAATGGAATACGTGTGTGTATGTGCACCCACAGATACACACTCATATCCCACTCACTGGGATGACAGTTATCTTAGAGTTGATGCAGTCTAAGTCCAAATTAATGAAGAAAACACTTTTTAAGTGTATAATCTGCACAGATATGCAACCCACAGTATGGAGAGGGCTTGGTGCTCTACATGGAGCAGTGTGAATTTCTTCTTGATTACAGGAGATCTATTCTTCTTTACAAACATCAGAGCCATCCGCCACTAAGAACTGCTCTTCAGCTATTCAAAGAAGCATTGAAATTCCACTTTTTTTCCCTTTGGCTCAGATAAAAGTTTCACTAAAACTATGCTTCTGTCTTTCCAAACGAATCTATGAAGTTCACAATATAACAAAATATGAACATGTATTTGCCTCTTTTCAAGGTAAACCCTAGTGTTTGTGAAGGTGTGGTAGTTAGAGTTTTACTTCTAATTACATTTGGTTAAAAACTCCTTTACAATTTTTTAAGTAAATTTACACATTTCCTTAAAAATGTGAGACTTCTCTGAATTTGATCATCCTGTGATGAAGGTAAGTTTTTCTGGTGTGCTGAGATTTCTTTGGCATGTCTCTTCTGTCTGGCTGTGCCTCCTTTGATTCCTAGCTCTACTTTAATTCAGGATGCATTGCATCCTTTCTGTTGCTAAATACAGGCACATGTCACTTAATAATGAGGAGAAATGTGTCATCAGGTAATTTCTGTGCAAACATCATTGTGTACTTAGGCAAATCTGGATGGTCTAGCCTGCTATACACCTAGGCTATATGGTATAGCCTATTTCTCCTAGGCTACAAATCTGTAAGTATTGTCACTTATTGAATATTGTACGCAATTGTAACACAATGGCAAGTACTTGTGTATCTAAACATATCTCAACATGGAAATGGTCCAGTAAAAATAGGGTATAAAGGATAGAAATGGTACACTCTGGGCACTTATATATATAGAGCATTTATCATGAATGGAGCTTGTGAGATTATAAGTTGTGAGTAAGTCAGTGTATTGGTCTGTTCTTATGCTGCTATAAAGAACTACTTGAGACTGGGTAATTTCTGAAGAAAAGAGGTTTAGTTGACTCACAGTTCCACAGGCTTAACAGGAAGCATGACTGGGAGGGCTCAGGAAACTTACAATCATGGTGGAAGGTGAAGGGGAAGCAAGCACCTTCTTCACATGGTGGCAGGAGAGAGAGAGAGGAGGGGGGAGTGCCACACACTTTTAAACAACCAGATCTCATGAGAACTGACTCACTATCATGAGAACAGCAAGGGACAAATATGCCCCCATGATCCGATCACCTCCCACCATGCCCCTTCTCCAATTTGACATGAGATTTGGGCAGGGACACAAATCCAAACCATATCAGTCAGGGAGTGAGTGGTGAGTGAATGTGAAGGTCTCAGACATCACTCTACGCTAATGTAGACTGTAATCACTGTACACTTAGGCTACATTAAGTTTATAAAAAATTTCTTTCTTCAATAATATATTAACCTTAGTTTACTGTCACTTTCTTACTTTATAAGCTTTTTAGTTTTAGAAAACTTTTTTACTCTCTTGGTAATAACACTTAAAACACAAACACATACAGCTGTACAAAAATATTTTATTTCTTTATATCTTTATAAGCTTTTTTGTATTTTAAAATTTCTTTATTTATTTTTTACCATTTAAACTTTTTTGTTAAAAACAAAGACACAACACACACTTAGTCTAGGCCTACACAGGGTCAGGATCATTAATATCACTGTTTTCCACCTCCACATCTTGTTCCACTGGAAGGTCTTCAGGGGCAATAGCATGGATGGAGCTGTCATCTCCTATGATAACAAGGCCTTCTGGTATCTCTCCTGAAGGACCTGCCTGAAGCTGTTTTATAGTGTTTTTTTTTTTTTATGAGTAGGAGTGCATTCTAAAATAACAATTAAAAGTATAGTAAATATATAAACCAGTAACATAGTCACTTATTATCATTATTAATGATTCTATATTGCACATAACTGCATGTGCTAGACTTTTATGTGACTGGCAGTGCAGTAGGTTTGTTTACATCAGCATCACCACAAACAGGTGAGTAATGTGTTACAGTACAACATTAGGATGGCTATGACATCACCAGGCAATAGGAGCTCTTCAGCTCCATTATAATCTTATGGAAATACTGTCATGTATACTATTCTGTCATTGACCAAAATGTCATTATGTGTCACATGACTGTAGTTATTTTTAACTGAAGAATTGTCTTTTCCCAACAGCTCTGTTCTTCAACAGTTCCTCTCCAAAATCAAAACAAGACAGAAATGTTACATGGAAACACTAAATTTGTAAGTGAGAACCATTAGGGTGAATAGCTTTTATTTTTTCTTTCCTTCTACTTGTCTCCTTGCATCTTTCTTTCTAAGCAAATGAGACATTTGATTACAATGAAGTTCTCAGAACTTAAGGATCATTTAGGTCTCAAAGATCACTTTATGTTACCAAAAATTACAAGTTGAACAGACGTAAGAGAAGAGTGTTACAAAGGCAGATAAAGTGGTTTTTTTATTCACAGCATCAGCTATTTCCTTTTCAGAAGCTAATTAGAAGTAAATGTCGACCCAGCCTAGTTCCTGGTAGTAGGTCATGAGTCTCCACATGGTGGATCTCAAACTTGACTATAAAAATGCCAGTGTCTGAGTCTCACTCCCAGGGATTCTAAGTTAATTGGCCTCGAACATGGCCTGGGTCTTATGATTTAACAGGTGATTTTAGTGTGCAGCCACTGTTGGAAATCTGCTCTCAACCTTTTCACAGAGCTATTTCTGATAGGATGCCATTCTGAGCAATGATTTATTTAAATTTTGTTCTAAAGCACTATATCTGGCTGGTAGAGAGAATAAGTTGATGAGCTGCATTGAGGATCAGGTAGAATGTAATTCTACCTGATATAGAATTTATATCTATATAAAGTGGAGATTCTAAATCCTCTGGATCCAAAATAAAGTAAGGTCCATGTGAAGCAAGACACGTGTCATTGTGGGGATAGTAGACAAAGGTGACTGAGCTGGGCAGGAGTCAGCGAGTATACAGATACAGGCAGGAGAGGGTGAGGGGTAGGCTTTGCTATTCTAGCCTTTGGAGTCAAAATTCTGACCATAAAGATTTAAATTTACTGTGTGCTTTGGGAAAGTGCACAGGAAAGGAGGAATCCCAGGCACTGGGTAGAGTTAGGATTCCCTTCTCTAAAGTGTCCGTGTTTCAGAGTTGCTTGGCTGGGGCTGAGGCAAGGCAGGCTGGACCCACTCTGCCTCTCCTCACGACCTCTTTTCTATGTGCTTTCCCACCTGGGGACCAAGGACAATTCTTACTCAGCCTAGGGGGCATTTAGATTTGACCTGGCCTTTTAAATTCTCCTAAATCAATTTTACATCCTTACCACCTGGTTCTGTTCATCTCTGAAATCCAGGGGTTTTAGAAGGCAGTTTTTAAAATGAGACAGATAGAAGAAATGGATGAATAGGAGAGGGAATTCAAATTGGTCACGTTTAGCCTATTAAAATTTGGAGACATTGAGCCAGCTGGTGATGCTTGGATGAATAGCATTGGTATTGCCCTAGTTTATTCCTCAAAGGTATTTTTGCGCTTTGTAGGCATTTATTTGGTGTTTTCTTTTTTTCTTTTCTTTTTTTTTTCTTTTGAGACGGAGTCTCACTCTGTTGCCAGGCTGGAGTGCAGTGGCATGATGTTGGCTCACTGCAACCTCTGCCTCCCAAGTTCAAGCAATTCTCCTGCCTCAGCCTCCAGAGTAGCTGGGACTACAGGCACACACCACCACGCTCAGCTAATTTTTTTTTTTTTAAGTAGAGATGGGGGTTTTACCATGTTGGCCAGGATAGTCTCGATCTCTTGACCTTGTGATCCGCCCACCTCAGCCTCCCAAAGTGCTGGGATTACAGGTGTGAGCCACCGTGCCCAGCCTGGTGTTTTTTTTTTTGTTTTTTTTTTTTTTTTTCTGTTTTGCATCGACTTGCTCTTCAATGATTTCATGTATAGCCAGATAGAATAACATTAAACAATTACGTTTTGGCTCATTTTACATTTCTGTCCTATAATAATTTGTTTTAATGGGCCATTCATTTTTCATGCATATGTAAGGCAAACTCTGAATTTGGCCTTTCTTTAGTTTTTTTCTGCTAATCACTGGAGGCAATAGTGTATAAAATTTATATTTGCCTTGGAATCTTGTAATTAAGGGTTCAAATCATTCTTTTTTGAAAATTATTTAAGATCTCTGAGTCTCAGTTTTTCTTTTTAAAAATTGGGAAAGACTAATCTTTGTAAGATTGACTTTGCTGTTTTAAAAATCACTAATTTTTTTTTAAATTTCGTAATGCTGGAACAATTTGGGCAACAAAATAAATAAAACAATGTTGGATTATAACCCAAAGTATAAAATAAATATCAATACTGATATAAATAAATGATCAACTAAAAAATAAATGGCGTGAGAATAGACAAATCTGAGCAAAATAATTGCAAATAATTCCAAGGTGTAGTTCATTTTTCAATATTAGGTCAAAGCTTAGTGCCTAAAGGTAAACAAGCAAACATTAATGACAAAGAAATCCAGTAGTACCTCCTAAAGAAGTCTTAACATTAGTCTAATGGTAACGAGTTAAACATTGGAGAAGTTAAGGAGGTTGGAGAGAGATAGTCTTCAAAAAGCTACTAATACGATGTCGATAACTTTCTGTCTTTGAAAACTTTGGAGCCCTTGTCGTTCTTCCTATTTAAGTGATTTTTAAGCTTGCTAGTTGGTAATATAGAGTTCTGATGATCCCTTACAGTTCTTTTACTTTTATTTTTTCTCCTCACTCAGAAAAAGGAGGCTGCAGTGGTTATGTTTTGCTGATGTCTAGGATAATAGGCTTTGAAAGTTTCATTCTTTCTTTTTCTTTCCATCTTTACCTGTTCTCCAGACCCCTGATCCCACCAAATATTATTTTATTGGTACTCAAAAATGTATCTTTAGTGAAAGACAAATATTTTTGGAAAAGTTTAAAAAATCTGTTTCTTATTCTCAAAGGGATGTTTCTATTTCCCCTTTGGTGAGCCTTGGAAGAGATGGATAAATGTGAAAGTGTGAAGGCTCAGGGAGCATCTGAAAGGACACTGGGTGTGTCAGGGATTTCTACTTTTGTTAAGCAAGGCTCAGCCATGATGGCATCACCTACTTCCCTCCCAGAAGAAAGATTATGGTTTATCCAGCAGCTTTGCACCATGTCTGCAGGGCCTATTGGAAGTTTATGTTTGAATAATGCTTCTTAATGCATGCTTTCAACTGTGCTTGACTTTACAGTTTTGAGGAGTCGGTCTTGTTAAATCTTGTCTCATGTGAAATGATGTTGTGACAATGCCTTACTCATTTCAAAGACCTTTGTAGTGTGGCAGAATTAATACTGAAATATTATCTGGTCCTATTTTCATGGCTCAGGGATTTTTGTGGGATGGAAAAGAGAAGCAGCCTTACCTTTCTTTCTCTTTTCTTTCCTTTCGTTCATAAAGATTTGAGGATTTAAGAGCTAATGAAAATGTCCTACCAGGAAAAAGGAAATGGACAAGGTCTTTGAGAGTCTGGAGAAAGCTAGGAGGAAGATTCTTCCCAGACTGATAAGAAGGGAGGTTTGAGTGTTCCATGGGAAGTGGGAGTGAAGGCATTATGTCAGGGCAATGACTGGGGAGGTGGGAAGATTCTAGTCATTCCCATTTTTCTAGTGCCAGAAAAATGGCACCTAGGGGAGGAGAGACCTTGGACACAGGGATTTCTGGACCAACAGAAGATCCCTAATCTCTGGAGATGGCATGGAGGCCAGAGTCTCTGGCCTTCCAGGAACACCCTGGGCTTGGAGAATGAGGATGTCAATGGTCATCGAAACAACTTGTTGGCTAGAGGCTCTTCCTACCTTTTCTGCACTCCACATAACCCTAATTGATTCTGCTGCAGCCTGAGAATGGAGGGAGTTCTCTTAAGAACTGGGATGAAAATGCAGGCTTGGTGCTATATTAAGTTGATTAAAAAGCAATAAAATGGTAATATTTCTTGAACACCTGCGCTTGTGCACTGAGACTCATATCTGTTACACTAGAATTAATTCATGGCTAATCGATTTGAAGGGAAAATATTGATCTTTCACACCAAAGGCAAATGTCTGAGTAAGTCCCAACAAAATCAGAAACTGCATATAACCTGTATCAAGGGAGATGAGAAGTACAACATGTGAATAAATGTACAGGGTTTGTTTTTCTATACAAACTCAGCTCAAAAACCCTAGGCAAAGTTTCTTTTAAAGAATATATATGTTAAAATTATAGGGATTTGCAAATCATGTGGCCAAAATTTTGGATGTGAGTGCAGAGGGTAGTCATCAACTTTATTATCTCTTCTATAACTTACTATTTCTTATCTGTTGAAAGAACACTGTGCTGGGAGTCAGGACACTAAATCCCAAACTTTGGCCTTGGACAATCCATTTTACCCCTGAATGTGTAAAATGAGGGTTTTTGCATACCTGAGAGTCCCCTAGTTGTGGAGATCCAGGATTGGAAACTGGTTCTGGGGAATATGTAGTGCAAACAACGGTGGGCTTGCTCTGAGGACACGGGCTCAAAGTTTGGTTTTTATCACTCACTGGCCTTTGTGATCTTTGACAAATTAATTTTCCTCAACTTCAGTTTCCTAAACTGGAAAATGTAGATACTTTTTCAGGTGAATCGATGCAATACTATAGGTGGAAGTGCTTTGTAAATTATCAAGTGCTATACAAAGTTAAGGCCTTACTAACAATCGATCAACAATGCTTTATGAGAGCCTGATATACGGTGGTTGGATTTGAAGGAAAAAAGAGAGAAGTCCTTAAGATATGACTTCAGGCCTTAGTGAACTTTCAGTTCAGAAGGGAATAAGGCAATTAGAGGACAATAAACAATTAGAGAATACTAGCAAAATAAAAATTTTAAGAAAAAGTTTCTTGGGGCGGGACATGAAGAGCTGGGGCCAGATGTTTGCATATTTAAAGAAATTGTGAACTTAAATAAAAACCAATTACTCACCAAGCCTTCTAAAATCTACAAAACAACCGAGATAGATCTTACTTTTTTTTGTTTTTGTTTCCTCCCCACTGGAACTTAATATATGATAACCATAAGTAGTTCCTATCGAAATCAGAAAATGTGGATGAACTTCTCTAAATGGGAATCTCCATGCCTGTTAAATCCTAGATCAGTAAAGAATCTTATCACTTTGATTTCTTCAAAGTAGTCTATCATCAGTGTGTGTTTTAGAAAGAAATGATTGTTAAGTTCTAGGCATCATCATTCTTTATATAAATTAACCCATTGAATCCTCACAAAGATCTTATAATCGTACTATTATTATCATCAACATCCTGATTTTTTAGAGAGAAAACTGAGGCACAGAGATATTAAATACCAACAGCCAAGCCCAAATTTGAACTTAGGCAGCCTGACTCCAGGGCCTTGCACTTAACCAGTGTCCTATGCTGCCACCAAAACACAGAGTCATCTTTTGTTTCTTAACCTTTGCTTTGCTAACAACAAAATTTATACACTGTCCAGTATAGAAAACTTAGAGTTCTCAAGGACAATTTTGTTGGGAGAAACATTATTTTATTTCATTGAAAATGAGTGTATCTGCGACAATGTTTGTTTTTGAAGCAATTAGTGAAAACGATATTCCAGGAAAGCTAGTTAATTTATTTTTTGCTAATAATTCTCAAGAGTGATAATACTGGGATCTTGAGTCCTAAACTCATTCATAAGTAACTAATTAGGAGAAAAAGAGAAAAAGAAAAAGGAAGCAAAGGAGACAAGAGGATGAGGCCTTGAAAACACAGAGTAGAAAAACAACATATGTCAAATTTATTTTAACACAACTCACTCAAATTCAGTGCATATTGTGAACCGTGTTTACCAAGATATTTGAATTTTCAGAGAATTTTCTTTCTTTCTATTAGTACCTTCTTTCAAAAAATATTGTCAGGTATTTATACATTTAGATATCATCTTTAAGGCAAAAATAGCTACCAATGTACTTTAAAATAAATCATTTGTACAGCCAATATGTTGAATAAAAAATATTAGCTTTTTGGGCCAAAAATTTCTATTTATGCTTAATTCTTATTTATTAAAAAAGTTACATGTAAGTATAAATCAATTGAAAAAATACAGAGAGCTGTAGTAAAGTGATTACATGAGCAACAATAACAACAATTTACAGTTGTAATGGTTGGGTGTTTTATTTCTCCAGTAAAACCTACACACCTTCAAACATTTAGGGCACCTTTTGAGGAACAAGGAAGAAGTTAGTGAACACCTAATGGTAATTATATTAAATTGCCAACACACAGTTGGGTGTAATATTGAAAAAAAATTCTAATACTAGGTGGCAAGTTTAGATGGAGAAAAGGGACCTTGCTTAAAGAGAACTAGACAGACATTTCAAAAATTTGAGAAGTTTCACAGTAAAAAGTCCCAGCGTATAATGGCTGTTTACATCTTCCCTCCCTGCCTTCCTTCCCTCCTTCCCTTCAATCCTTCCTGCCTGCCTGCCTTCTCTCCTTCCTTCCTTTCCTTTCTCCTTCTCTCCCCCTTCCTGCCTCCTTTTATCTCTTTCTTTCATTTTTAAACAGCTTTATTGGGATATCATTGACATATAAATATTTATATATATATTTAAAGTACATGACTTGGTGTTTTGATATACATGTACATGGTGGGAGAAGGAAATGGGGAGATGTTGGTCAAAGGGTACAAATGTTCAATTATTCAAGATAAATAAGTTCTGGAGATCTTGAACATGTTAAGATCTCCTTGAACATGTTAAGATATCCTGACCTTAATAAAAATTGGCAACTATCCAGCATGGTGACAATAGTTAAAAATGCCATATTGTTTGCTTGAAATTTACTAAGATGATAGATCTTAAGTAAAATCTTCTTACCACACACACATGCAAAGTTGCAAAGTGATAACTACATAGAGGTGATAGACATGTTGAGTAGCTGGAACAGAATGATTCCTTCTTTCTTTCTTTAGCACATATTCATTGAGTGTCTACTCCAGGTATTGCTATAGGCAATAAGGTTCAGTAGTGATCAAAGCAGATCATGTTCCTGCCCTCCCGAGGCTTAAATTCTAACATAACACATCTGTAATATTGTTTCCATTTCCTTCATTTTTGCTGCCATCCCTCATTAATAAACCTGGGCTATTGTAAATAGACTTCTGACTGGTTCCCTGGACTTCAACTTTCTCCCTCTACTTTGTTTAGCATATTGCGAGCAATTTAATTTTTCTAATATGTTGCTTAGCTAATTTCTTTATATAATGAAAGCCATAATACTATCAACTTTATATGATTATCCTGACACTTAAATGAAACCTACAGGTAGAAAGCACAGTAGATCCTCATTAAATAGTGGCCCATGTCAGCATTGGCTTCTTCCTCTCCACTAGGGAAATGTTAAGCCCCTCATCCATCACTGGAGCTCTCCAAAGTTTTGGTTAGGGTGTGGCATATGACATGTTAGTGCAGTTCTGTTTGGTTTAGAGTTTATAACATAGTTGGGTTCACATATAAAAATAATTCAATCCCCAAAGGGATCATCTTTCATGGGTAATAAGGAGAAAGTATTTTTCTCTAGAATGCTTTTCAGTATTTCAGATTCTGCCTTGTCAGCCTACATCCAGCCTGTCCAGATGTGGGATATCATTATTACAACTAAATTATGATGATAACCTCTACATGTCCATCACCATCACTTGTGGTGATGGTAAGGCCATCGCCATTTTTCTAGATCCCTGACTCAAACCTGTTCTTACCTACTCCTCCCTCACCCTTGCTCTTACAGGTTCCCGCTCAGGGCTGTGTTCCCCATATTGATAAATGGTACTGCTAAGCCTTCACTGGCTGAGTCCAGAGACCTTGGAGTCATGCTTGTTTTTTCCCTCTCTACTATTCCATACTGAGTTCTTAAATTAAGCTTTGAGACTCTAATTTCCACCCAGTCCAATCCTGTCTCCTCTACCCTGGTCCAAAGCGTCATCTTCTCCGCCCTGGGTTACCACAAGAGCCTCCTACCTTGCCATCCTGCTTCCACTTTTGCCCCTTAAGTCTATTCTCATACAGCAGCCACAGTGATTCTTCTGTAACATTAAGTCACTTTAAAAATGAGTCCCCTATTCCCTGAGTGACTTGTCATCACCCTTCAAATTGATACAAACACTTTTACAGAGGCCGTCTCTGACCCAGCTCTCTTTCTACTCCTCTCATCTCTTGCTCACAGCCTTCCAGCCACACTGGCCTTCTTCTTGTTCCCCTGACTCACTGTGCATGCACTCTGCTAAGAGTCTTAACTCCCTATGCTTTAGTTTTCTTTGTACAACAGGGATATCTGTACAATGAAAAGTTTCTTTTTATAGAATACTTGGGAAGATTACATTGGATAAGGCCTGTAAAGTTCTAGGCACTGAACATAGTATATAGTAATTTCTCAATAAATGTTTATGCTTGTTTGTATTCTAATGCTAGTCTCATTTTTTCAATGGTCTAATTGACCTACATGTCCCACTAGCAAATCAAATTTAATATTTCCAGTCTGAACTCACAAACATCTTCCCATAAATCAGTTCATTTGATTGGCATTCTTATTCTCATAAGGCCATCATCATTTTTCTAGATCCCTGACCTCAAACCTGTTCTTACCTACTCCTCCCACACCCTTGCTCATATTCCACCTCTAACCAGTCATCAAGTTCTATTGATTCCATTTCTGAAAATTTCCATCTATCCCTCTCTTTCCTTTCTCAATGCTGCCACACTAGGCTCTTGTAGTAGATTCCTAGTTGGTCATCCTGTTTCTGGCCTGTCCTTTCTAAACTATACTGTACTCCACTTTCAGATTCCCACAGCTCAGCATAGCCCTAGTGAAGTCACTTCTGTTCTTGGAAATCTTTGAAGTCTCTCTATTACCTACAGGAGAAAGGCTCTGCTACTTGGTCTGCTATTTAAAGCCTCTGTATCAGTCAGAGTTCTCCAGAAAAACAGAATCAATAGGATACATGTGTGTATATTGTGTGTGTATATCGTGTGTGTGTTTGTGTGATGCATGTGTGTGTGTGTGTATATATATATATAGAGAGAGAGAAAGTGTGTGTGTGTGTGTATATATATATACACACACACATATAGTTGGCTATGCACATCCATGAGCTCTGCATTGCAGATTCCACCAAGCACAAATTGAAAATATTTGAGAAAAACAGTAAAAACTAACAATACAACAATAAAAAGTAATACAAATAAAAAGAGTATCACAACTATTTATATAGCATTTAGATTGTATTAGATATTATAAGTAATCTAGAGATCATTTAAAGTATATTGGAGAATGTGCATAGGTGATATGCAAATACTATGCCATTTTACGTAAGTATTGTGGCAGATGCCTGAATTGGGTGGGTCCATACATTAAAAATGTTATAATACATAAAATAAAAAAGTGAAAATGCCTTATTTACTACTATTTATTAGTGGTTGATTCATTTCATTAAAAAAGTACAAAGAAATAAAGAATTACAGAAAGTAGGCATTGCTTACCTCAAATAATGAAAACAGAATGTTTTGAAGGGGAATATACAATAGCAAGGCAAATTTCCACAGTCTACCCAAAGTCCTAAATAATCATATTTCCCATTTTAAAAAACAGTATATATCTGCAACTTCTAAAGTGAATGTTACCTATTCCAAGTTACAAAATATGCATTTAGCATATTTAAAACAAAGACAGGATGACAGATTCTATATATAAGAATTTTTAGCAAGACTACAGAATTCTAACACTGCTTTTTGCATATGAGGGATTTTTGGGCAACAAAGAACACCATGACACAGGAACATGTTAGGGGATTCAGCTACAAAGTGACTGCAGTCTTGCACACGCTAAATGCTTACTTAAGGTATTTGATATTTCTGAGAGCTGGTGAAAGAATTTCCTTTCTTTCTCTCATTTCTTTCATTCTATCCCTTCAGTAAGCCAGCTCCTCAGAAGTCAAAATATGCCAGGCCATATATTCTTTTATTTTATCTCAATTCTCAGAAATGTTCTTCCTGCATTAATAGTTAATGTTTTGTCTTCTACTTTTATAGAAGGCAGATAAAAATATTCATTTGAAGAATGAATCAGAATAATTACAAAACTGTGGTCAAAGATATTTTAAAAAATTATATTCCATAGGCATATTGGAAGGATTAATATTATTTTTGTATTTCTGTTTTATTGTTAATTATTATGGATACATAGTAGTGGTACATATTTATGGGGTACATGTGATGTTTTGTACAAGCATACAGTGTGTAATGATCAAATTAGGGTAATTGGGGTGTCCATCACCTGAAGCACTTATCATTTGTGTTACAAACACTCCATTTCTACTCTTTTAGTTACTATAAAATATGCAGTAAATTTATATTAACTGTAGTCACTCTGTTGTGCTACTGAATACTAGATCCTAAATAAGATTTAGTATTTAATGGTTGTATTTCTTAGGAGATTATATATAAATATATATAATATATTTATATATAAATTTATATATATTTATATATAAATATACATATATATTTATATATAAATATATATAAATGTATAAATATATAAATATATAAACATATATACATATATAAGTATATAAATATATATACATATATACATATATAAATATATATACATATATACATATATAAATATATATATATGTATATATACTACCAAGCCCAGAGCCTAGCTGAGTGGATACTCACTAAATGGTAGCTATTGTAATCTTAAAAAATTCCTTTTAAGATTTATTGCCAGACAAATAATTGACTATTCTAAGAAATTTGTTTGTTTTTCAATACAACAAAAAACAAGAATTATATGCTCACACATATTTACATATTTAATACAACTGATAGAAACTCAGAACTAAATTTTGTGCCTAACTTCAATAATTATCTTATTTTGGATACTTAACACATCTATTTCTAGTCATTTTATAATTGTAAAAAATTAGCTGTCTTATTTTACATAGGTTTTAATATTCCGTTCTGTTCAAATTGGTTTTTGGAGGGAGGAGAACATAATTAAAACACAATAAAGCAAGATAGTTCCCTGACCCCTTCATGGGCAGGAACTGGAGTGCAGGGGCACTGGAACTACCCAACAGCTTTGGACCTGCTGTGCCTCACCCCTTGCAGGAAGGGGAGCATGCAGGTTAGTGGGTACAGGAGCTGGAACAAGTGCTTTTGGGCACTGCCAGCAGGAGCAAACCTCCGTGCGGGCCCTGTGGCCAGACTCCTCTTTGAAGCTATGCTTTCAAGCCATCCTTCTGATGTCAAACCCCTTCTCTCTGATGCCCAATCATAGTCTCCAACATCCAGCTGTTTCTCTCTCTCTCTGCTTGCTGAGCCTGGGGTTTTTATGGGCAGCACAAGATAGAGGGCAGGGCAGGCTATGGGTGGTTTTGGAAAACACAACATTCAAGTGGGAAAAGAGAGATATAAGTTCTCACTATGGGCTGCAGTTCCAGACTTGAGGGTGGGGCCCTCCCTCGGGACCTGCCCTCTTCTGTCCAGAATTTTCCTGCCTCC
Organism: Homo sapiens; assembly: GCF_000001405.40. NCBI lineage: Eukaryota > Metazoa > Chordata > Mammalia > Primates > Hominidae > Homo > Homo sapiens. Next base: position 54,465,738 of record NC_000018.10, read on the forward strand.
TGTCCCTAGCAACAACAATAACAAGAAATAATGCTGCAAGGCCTCCAACTACTGACATGTTTCATAGACATTAGGATACTTCAAACAAAATGTAGAATACTTATGTCTTGGAAATAAAATTGATCTAGATGCCAACAATACGCAAAAAATTTTTTATTCTAGAGTTGAATGTTTATAATATTAAAAATATCACAGTAAAAATAGTCTGGATAATGTTTATGCCCCATTTACAGGACAAAACAAAATTAAGAACATTGCCATTTTCTAAAGAGAATTCTGAGAGAAGAGAAAGTTTTACTGTGACTAAAATATTAATTTATGCCATGTTGTAACACTTGAAAGCAGTGTACTATATACATGGGCATGTTATAGAGAATCCCACACACTCATACCTGATTCTGCTGCCACTGCTCCTATTGGGTGATCTTTGCAGAGTTACTTAGCCCCTCTGAGGCTCTATCCCTATTTGTAAAATCTTAGAAAATAATTTTTGCCATTCATTGTTGTAAGGATTTATAATAATTTATGCAGACAGCCTAAGACAGAGCCTGGTACCAATATTCCATAATTAGTAGCTGTTAAAAATAATAAGATCAATGATATATACCTGTGCTAGCCTAGAATTGTGCAGAACATGAACCCTCAAAGGACTTTCAATGACTGAATGGGGCAAACAGAGTAACATGTGCAACAAAGCAGGCTAGTTCTTCCTTCTAAGATGATGCTGGCTTGACTAGCTTTCACTCTGTTTGATGAAACTGGAAGTGAAAATGGCAAGAATTGTTAACTATTGGTTTTTGCTTATTTCAAATATCTAAAGTGACAACACTGAGAAAATAACAGCATATTATTGACAAAAAGTTACACTTCACCTCTTTTTTGTAAGAAAGAGAGAAAAATAATCCCTTATAACAATCATGACTAAACATGTTTTTCAGGCCGTGGGTTGTTTCCTGTAACACCCTGGAATAATTATTTACTTTTATCCATAACCTGTTCTTGGTTAATTGCATGTCATTTCTGTTGCTCACCTTACAGGTATGCTAAGGTTCTAAAAAGCTGAAGTTTGCACGTAACATAACACATAAATTGAACCTGGAAATTGTGCCCACTGGAGACTAGATACTGACCCAGATGGTGACTGTAGCATGACTACATATAGAACTGCCCTTTCATCATGTATAGTTTCTCATGCCATAATTGCAATTGTTTTGCTGTAAAAGAAACTGACAATATGCGTCTCAATGTTTTAAGGTTTTGCATATCTATTATTATAACAATTTGATTTTGGTACTCAACATTTCGCAACTTCTTGGATTGGTAAGAATAAACTCAGTGGAAAAAGTGGAGCTAAATGTACATCAGTTTTGACTCCTTAACTTTATTTCTAAGAAAATATAAACACAAGTAAACAGAAGTCTTTACCTGTTAATTTGGTCATCCTCTATGAAAACAAAAATAAACAAAAGCTACTATACATACTACCTAGGAAGGCAGAGAGGTGTTTTAGCACAGTGTGGCTATAAAGTCTAGAAACACACCTTATTTGACTTAGTCAAGATGCGAAATGTAGGCTGGGCACAGTGGCTCATGCCTATAATCCCAGCACTTTGGGAGGCCAACACAGGTGGATTGGTTGAGCCCAGGAGTTCAAGACCAGTCTGAGCAACATAGTGAGACCTCATCCCTCCAAAAATTACAAATATTAGCCAGGTATGGTGGTGTGCACCTGTAGTCCCAGTTACTCAAGAGGCTGAGTCAGGAGGATCACTTGAGCCTGGGAGGCAGAGGTTGCAGTGAGCCGTGATTATGCCACTGTACTCCAACCTAGGCAATAGAGTGAGATTCTGTCTCAAAACAAACAAACAAACAAACAAACAAAAAACAAGACACCAAATGCTGATTGCACTTGACAGGCTGGGGGAGGTCTCGTGAAGTAGGGCCTGTAGGGTGGTGCATGACCCCCCATCACACCATCCCACACGTGGTGGGATGATGTTAAACAAAACTTATTGAACGATGTGGCTGTGTGGAGTGAGATGCCTACTTCCAAGATATGAAGCCCTTGGTTATTTCTTCCAGGGTAGGCTAAAGGCATAGGTTTATGTAGTGAACACCAAAGACACAAATCATCTGAGGCAACACATTGCAGATGCATGTACAGGGATTGATGGTAATGCTGCATTAATGCATTACATTCATTGTCATTTTGCCCAGCATAGGGAAATATGCATTGATAATGAGAAACAACACATTGAACTTTCATGTAATGTCATTGAACACCCATGTATTTTAATGTAATGTCACCAATCTGTTTGTTATGTCTATTTGTGTTTCCAAAATTATGGTCATCCTATAGGTCTCTGATCTCTGAGTAGCACACTGACTAGGTTGACAAACCATCCTTGTTTGCCTGGGCCTGAGGAATTTCTAAGAATGCTAGACTTCTAGTTTTAAAATCAGGAAAGTACTGGGAAAAGTAGGATGAGTTGATCACTCTGATGGTGACGTATCAAGATATGAAAAACTTGGTTAATATGTGCCACCCCGAATACTAGCATAGTAAGTGTGGAATCCACCTAACATTAATTTCTAGACCTAAAAGATGGGTAGCCATGTTCTTACTATAAGACCTGTGGTTGCTTTGCATCTCAGGAGTATTTTATCACTATCTTTTGAATGGAATTTGTAACATACAAGAGTGAAAGATAATGACCAACCAAGAATTAATGGACCAACTCAGCTACCCACATCAAGTCCCAGCATGGAGTCAGAGAGGTACAATGTAGAAACAAAAGCATAGTTAACCAATCCTGTGAGCATTTGGAAACCTTTTCTTCAGAAGTGAATAGATCTCTTCAGGAAATATTAAACTGAATGGGCTGAAAGAAAAGGAGGTACAATCCACTGCAAGGAATCCTCCCAGTTTTGTAACTGCCTCTCATCTCTCAAGCAGTCATCTTAATAAGCAGTACCCCCACCCCCGCCACACACAAAAAATAGAAAAAGAGAGAAAGGGCTCTGGGGCCAGCAAGGATTGTGAAGGAATCCTACCTCCATTCCTTCTTGGCTGTGTGACTTTGATCAAGTCCCATAACCTCTCTGAGCTTCTGTGGCCTCATCTCTGAAATGAGGGATTCCTGGTCTAGGCCACCTTCCTTTGTCATCTACTCTTACAGAATTACAGTCTTTTCCATCAGAGCCCAGAGCTCAGTGATGATTATTTGCTGTCAAGTCCCTGTAAGCCCTTTGAGAGCAGAAGTAATATCTTTTTTTAAGTTAGATTGTGTTCTTTTTCTTTTTTTTTTTTTTTTGAGACGGAGTCTTGCTCTGTCGCCCAGGCTGGAGTGCAGTGGCACGATCTCGGCTCACTGCAAGCTCTGCCTCTTGGGTTCATTCTCCTGCTTCAGCTTCCCGAGTAGCTGGGACTACAGGCACCCCCCACCGTGCCTGGCTAATTTTTTGTATTTTTAGTAGAGATGGGCTTTCACGGTGTTAGCCAGGATGGTCTTGATCTCCTGACCTCATGATCCGCCCACCTCAGCCTCCCAAAGTGCTGGGATTACAGGCATAAGCCACCGCGTCCGGCAGATTGTGTTCTTATAGGGGCACTCAATCACTTTTTGTTGAACAGAGTAAATTGTTGGAAGATTTTTTTTGAAGATTATGTGAGATAACTTATCTGTAGGGTTCCTAGAACCTTCTTTCCTTCGTGTCTCCCAGTCAACCCCACTCAATGCCTAAATGTTCCAGTTTTGCTTTTATATTTGTAGAAGAAGGTTTAGTTAAAAGACATTTTGTAAATATATAGAGAATCTGAAAATCGACATATCAGATGCCATATCTGCACGTTCATCAAATCTGCATATTTGGCTGGAATGCCAATTTCCATCCAGTTATTTGAAAGTACTGTACATGCACACTTAGGATCTGGTCGAGGAATTGTGACCAGGGAGAGCAGGTGTTTATTTGTGATAACTAGTGATCTCTATTTCTGTGGTGAGGCTGAACTGATTATCAGCAATTTCCATGGATTACATAGACTTTTGCCAATTTTGAGCCCTGTTACTGCATCCCAGGCAAGAATTCTGTCTGAGCAGGCAGTGAAAAGTGAAGACTTGTGGGCAGTTTATTTCATTTTATCCAATCAACTCAATATTTCAGCTGTATGTGATTTTTGTCCAAATTATGTAGTTGATTGCTTCAATTTTTAACTTCCTTATGCATGTCTAGACACATCATTAGAACTGACAAAGAAGATGAGAGAATTTAAGAGGCATGCCCATCTCCGCAGCAAAGGGCCTTATGAGATAGATAAATTTAGGAAGTTACTCCTTTCTAAAAAAAATTCATATGAAACAAGCTATAAAATTTATTTGTACAAGGAAAACTGCTCAGCTCACCAATAAGTTAATATGGGACAGATTTGACAAATGCAGCTGTATCTGCAATTTTTATGGTGGGCTTAAGGAAAGTTCCAATACCCTTTCAAAGAGCCTTTTAATTTTGCTTGTCATTTTACAGGGTTATCTAGGTATAATAGTCCAAAAACTTTAACAGTTGCTCCATGATATGGTCCCTAAATATCCACAGTGGGTGGTGCCTGCTTACCATTGTTCTCCAGAATGGTTTTGTTATTGCCAATCTCTTGCCTTACCACATCCTCTGCTCTTCTTGAGTATGTCACTCTCAGCTATACTTCCTTAAAGTCAGGAAGAAGGACAGAAATTAAAAACATGAAAACCAAAATCAAATACCCCCAAAATAATTGTTTTATGCATAACCCTAGTAAGAATGCAAAATCCAGGTTGTTGCCAAACACTTAAAAACATTTGTGGTTTACCACAAATGCTATTTTCTTTTTTCTTTTTAAAATTTTTAAAAATTTTACTCTTTTACTTGACAATTAATAATTGTCCATATTCATAGGATACATAGTGATGTTTTGATACATATAATGTGTAGTGATCAGATCAGGGTAATTAGTATATCAGGGTCTCAAACATTCATCATTTCTTTGTGTCAGGAAAGTTCAATAGCTTCCTTCAAGCTATTTGTACATTATTGCGATCTGTAGTCATCCTACAGTGATATAGAGCACTGGAACTTGTTTCTTCTATCTGGCTATAAGTTTGTATTGTTTAATAAATCTCTCTTCCGTCCTGTTCATGTGTTTTCATTGTAAACAAAGGTGCACATGCTTGTTTGTTTTGTTTTCTCTTTAAGCTGTAAGATGAAACTGATGGAATTAAGGGCCCATATGGTAGCAATCTCTATGTATCACTCATTGGCGTATTCAGAGTTCAAATTAGATATACTTTGTAGAGCTCAATTATGGACATGAAATGTGAAATTAGTGACTTTTTGAAACAGAAAAACATACTAAGATCACTTCTTTTACCAATTGTACTAATTTATACTCATAATTTAGGGCTAAATTTAAATATAGTGCTCAGCAAATAAAATGTCTAGAATAAAAATTTGGAAACACTGTTCTCCCCCAACTCCAGCGTCTTATAACTACATGGTGGGGGTCGGGGAGTTCATACTATGACATGCTTGTATGTGTTTTCCAGCAGAATTTATTCTCTCATTCAGAACGTTTACTGAGTACTTCCTATTTCCCAGGCACTAGTGCTGTGCTGCTAGTTTTAGGAAACAGAAAGTGAACAAGACATTGTCCCAGCCACAGGGGAGTGTTCCGTGAGTGAGACAAGTGGATGGGTCATTCTTCCATGGTGTGATGAATGCTTTGATAAAGACAAGTCCAGCGCTGCCTGTCAGTTCTCCTTAGAGATAGATCTTGGACCGAAGTAATGGTTAATGAGGCTGATGAGTTAGTCAATGATCTTTGAAATTAATCATGGGAATGGGCTAAGTGGGATCAAGAAGGCATGCGATAATAAGAATGTAGCTTAGGAGGACGTAACCTTCTTAACCTGTAATTGTCAAAAGGTGCTCTTCCCTGAGTTTTAGAGAGTACGGATAGCTACGATGGAGATGAGTCACTATGATGTGCACTTTGTGAAAAATAAAAAAACAAATTTCTGGATCTCCTCCCAGGTCTTCAGTGCTCATTTTACACTCTGTGCTACACTTACATATGATGTTTCCTGTATGCAGGAATTCATTTGCATTTTACCACCTATAAAGTTTATATAAAAGCAAAAAGATACAGAGATTTGCAGAACCCCAACTATGTTGTAAGTGCTCCTGGAATGAAACTCACCTTTCCTTTATTCTTTTTGAGCACATGGGCAGCTTTCTTGCACTAGAGTTATTCATTAACTCAAAAGTCTATACAGTCCTGTTGTCAAAAAAGTGAGTTCCCAAATTTTGAATTTGTCAAATTTAGGTCACCTAAAGAAGTCAGGTGATTTTTCCTACTGTAAAATCCCCTTATTAATGTTGTAAAATATCTGAAGATACATATATTTAAACAAATTTTGGAAGAGAGAGAGAAATTAGAAAATTGGATTGATCATTAAAGTTGAAAAGATTGAAATCAGAAGAAAATAACTTCTTTTATAAAAAGCAAAAGACATTTGGGTAAAGAATGATTTCTTATTTTCTGTCTTCTACGTGAAGAAGAAATAGATGAATTCTGTAGGAAGAGGAATGTAGCTAAGAATTCTTGGAGAGCAATTTCCTCTAGAAGGTCTAATGATAGTGGAACTGGTCTGTGTGGAGATTCCTATAATTTCCTTTTTGACTTTCAAATTAATGTTGATATTCATCTGACTGTTGCTGCATTTGTGTTCTTGTCTGAAAGGCTAGTTGGCTTCTTTCTTTGGGGCCTATTATTCCTTCATTTTATTTGTTTTATGTGTACAATGACTTGGACCAGTTTATCAACTCCTCTAAGCTTCTATTTCCACTGAAGCAGGATGAGGATAATCATAGCCCCTACATTTCAGGTTGTTGTGAGGATTAAATGTGACAATGCTTCTAAGACTCCAACAGCAAAAGCCCTGGTGCATGGTAAGCAATCCACAAATGTGAATTATTATTTTAATGATTATTAATAAAGGTGACACTCTGACCCATCATCGGCAGGCATGCATCTGAAATTTTTGTTACAGGAATTTCCACTTGTCCTCATTTAGAACACTGACATACATTGTGAGCCTACTGATTGGGTAAATGGACATGTTCTCTAGGCAAAGAAAGCCAACAGGCACTTCTTTTTTTGCTTGTTTTTTATTTATTTTTGAGACAGGGTCTTGCTCTGTCACCCAGTCTGGAGTGCAGTGGCACAATCATGGCTCACTGCAGCCTCGACCTTCCAGCTCAAGCGATACTCCCACCTCAGCTCCCTAAGTAGCTGGGACTACAGGAACATACCAGTATGCCCAGCTAATGTTTTTTTAATTTTTTTGTACAGAGGAGGTCTCTCTGTGTTGCCCAGGCTGGTCTCAAGCTCTTGGGCTCAAATGATCCTCCTACCTTGGCCTCCCAATGTGCTGGGATCACAGGGGTGAGCCACCACTCTGGCCAGCACTTCTTAAAGGTAAATGTGGGGGTGGGGGGCTAAAAAGTTGCACTAGGAAAACTCAGAAAATGGACAGCCCCCATAATGTGGTCTTACTTAGTAACTTCACAAAAAGTAGAGTAAGTGTTCTCCATTTTTGAAGTGATATAATATTTACATAAAAATATCAATTAGATCTCTAAATAGCAAAGATATCAGTATATTATTTAATTTTTTACATTCCCTGAAGGTAATTTCCCTCAAACATTTAAAAATGCTTAGAAAGCTTTGGAAATGAAAAAAATTGTCCTCCAAAGAAGCCAAGATTAAGGCTTTTTGGAACAATATATTAATGATGATGAAAAATAATATTAATGACCAAATTTATATGCTGTCTATAACAAATTGATTTCAAATATACAAAAAATAGGTTAAGAGTAAAAGCATGGAAAAGATATAGCATGATAATACTAGTTGAAATAAAGCTGATGTGGCTATATTAACATCAAGCAAGGTAGAACTTCAGAACAAAGAACATTATCAAGGATAAAGAAGACTATTCCACAATGATAGGGTCAATTCATCAATAGAACATAACAATCCCAAATATTTATGCAGGTAATAACAGAGCTTTAAAATATATGAAGCAAAACCTGATAGAAGAAATAGACAAATCCAAAATTATAGTAAGAGATTTCAATATTCAAACTTGATAAGTGATAGAACAAGTAGGCGGAAGATAGGGATATAGAAAGTAAGGATAGAGAAGACTTACCATTATCAATCAACTTGACATAATTGATGTTTATAGAACATTCCGTCTAACAATAGCAGAATATTCTTTTCAAGGATATTTGTCTAATTTATGAAGATGGATAATATTCTGAGCCATAAAACAAGTCTCAATATATAAAGTGATAAAAATCATACAAAGTATCTTCTCTGACCAGAATGGGATTTAATTAGAAATCAACAACATAAATGTCTTTAGCAAACCTTCAAATATTTGGAAACTAAGTAACAGATGGGTCAAAAAAGAAATCAGCAAGAAATTATAAAATATTTTCAACTGAGTGAAAATGAACAAACAAGATACCAAAATTTGTGGGATATATCAAAAGCAGTAATTAGAGGGAAATTTATGGAACTAAATTTCTCCTTTGGAAAAAAAGAATGATCTCAAATTAATGACCTTAGCTTCCATCTTTAGAAACTACAAAAAGAAGAACAAATAAAATTCAAGGTAAGCTGAAGAAAGAAAATAATGAAGACCTGAGAGATCAATAAAATAGAAACAAAAATTAGAGGAAATCAGTGAAACAAAACCAGATTCTTAGAGAGGATCAATAAAGTGGGTAAACCTCTAGTCAGACTATACATGAAAAAAAGATAAAGACAAACTATCAATATCAATAATGAGAGAAGTGATATGAGTAGAGATTTCTCAGATGTTAAAATGATAATCAGAATTGTATGAACAACTTTATGCCAATTCATTCAAAAACAAAGATGAAACTGACAAGTTTCTTAAAAGACAAACTACCAAACTTCACTCAAGAATAAATATATAACCCAAATAGCCCTGCATCTATTAAAGAAGATGAATTTGCAGTTAAACATATTCCTATAAAAAAAAATTCAGGCCCAGATGGCTTCAATGGTGAGTTCTAAAAACTAATACCAACTCTCTACAAAATAATTCCCCAAATAAAGAGGAGTGAACATTTCCCCACTCATTCTATAAGGTCAGCATTACCCTGGTTCCAAACCTAGAAAAGGACATTGTAAGAGAAGAAAACTGCAGCCTAATATGACTCATGAATATAGATTTAAAAATTCTTAACAAAATTTTAGTAAATAAAATCTAAAAACTATTAAAGGATAATATATCTTAACTAAGTAGGGTTTATTTCAGGAATGCAAGGTTCATTTGAAAATCAATTTTTTCGAGATTTGAAGATCAATCAATGTACTTCACTTTATCAATGGATGAAAGAAAAACAACCGTATGATCATCTCAATATATGTAGAAAAAGCATTTAATAAAATTTGACATTCATTCATGAAAAAATCTCTCAGCAAACTGCAGACTAGAAGGAACTTCCTTGATCTCACAAAGTGTGTGTATAAAATGACCTCTGGCTAACATCATATTTAATAATGAAAGATGGAATAATAAAGTGTGTCCCTAACATTTGGAACAAGGCAAGTATTTTTTTCTCACCAGTGTTTCTAAACATCATACTGGAAGTCCAAATGAGTGCAATAAGACATGAAAGTGAAATAAAAGGCATACAGATTGGAAAACTGTCTTTATATAAAATTGTCTTTTTTACAAATGAAATAATCATGTATGTAGAAAATACTATGGAATCTACAAAGAAGATACTAGAATTATTAAGTGAGTTTAGTAAGGTTGCAGAATATAAAATATTCAATAATCATATTTTTATGTACTAGTGTGGTACATTGAATAACACGGCCCTTTCCCAAGATGTTCATTACCTAATCCCTGAACCTGTGAATATGTTCCCTTCCATGGCAAAAGAGATTTGAAGATATTACCAAGTGAAGGATTTTGAGATGGGGAGATTATCTTGGTTTATCCAGATATGGGGCTAATGTAACCACAATGGTCCTTATAAGAGAGAGTAAGAGTTAGAGAAAAAGATGTGGTAACTGACGCAGAGGTTGGAGAGATGTGTTGGCACAAGCCAAGGAATGCAGGAAATTTCTAGAAGCTGGGAAAGCCAAAGAAATGGATTCCTCGAGGAGGAATGCAGGTTTGCTGATGAATTTTAGATTTCTTACTTTAAGAACTGTAAAAGAATACATTTCTATTGCTTTAAGCCACTAAATTTGTGGTAATTATAGTGGCAACAAGAAACTAATACAAATAGCAATAAATAATAGATTGAGATTAAAAACAAAACCATTCATAAAGGCACGAAAATATAAAGCATTCCTACACTAAAAATTCAAAATGTGAATGCAAGAAATTAAAAATCTAATTTAATGGCAACACATGTCACCTTTATGGATTGGAAGACTCAATATTTTAAAGATATCAATTCACCCCAAATGGGTCTATAGATTCAATGGAACCTCAATCAAAATTTCATTAACTTTTTATAGAAATTGAAAATCTTGTTCTAATATTTATATGAAAATGCAAAGTACATATAGTAGCACAAATAATTTTTAAAAAGTGGAACACATTGGAGGACTTATACTGTCTGACTTCAAGGCTTATTATAAAGCTACAAGAATAAAGTTAATGTGGTATTGGTGTCAAGTCAAATAGATAAATAGGACAAAATGAATAATTGAGAAGTAGAACTACTTATATATAGTCACTTTAATTTTCAAAAATAGGTAAAGTCTATTCAGTGGAAAAAGAAACGACTTTAACAAATGCAAAAACAAAATCTAAACTTGAAGTAATACCTTGCACTATATGCAAAAATTAACTCAAAATGACCACAGACCTAAATTGAAAACATATAACTGTAAACTTCTAGAAGATGACATAGGAGAAAATATTTTGAGACCTAGGATTATACAAAGATTTATTAGATATGATGCCAGAAGTATGGTATATAAAGAAACCAAATTGATAAATTGGACATTGTTCAAATTAAGATGTTCTGCTCTTTAAAAACCACAGCTAAGAGAATGAAAGAGAAGCCTCCGTATGGGAGCAAATATTTGCAAATCATATATAAAGGACTTATATCCAGAACATACAAAGAATCCCCAAAACTCAATATTCAATTAAAATATGAGGAAAAGACAGACATACTTCATCAAGGAAAAATTTGATGGCAAATAAACATATGCTCATCATATTTAGTCATTAGAGAAAAACAAAACAAAATCACAGTGAAATACTACTTTGCACTAATTAGAATGTATAAAATTGAAAACATCTACCATTCCAACTGTTGACAAGGATGTAGAGTAAGCACACTGCTTTGGGGAATGTAAAAAATGGTACAACATCTTTGGAAAACAGTTTGGCAGGTTTTGAAAGTTAAAAATACCCTTAACCATATGACCCAGTCATTCTACTCCTAGGTAGTTACCCAAGATAAATGAAAGCATAGGTCTATATAAAGATTTGTACACAAATATTCATAGCAGCTCTATGTGTAATAGCCAAACACTGGAAACAACTCCAAATGTCCATCAACACATGGATAAATAATTATAGTATATCCATACAATTAAATCTACTCAGCAATAAAAAGGAATTAACTTTGGATACATGTGATGACATGAATAAATCTTAATTATACTAAATGAAAAAAGCCAGTTTACAAATCTATGTACTGTGTAACTATTTATATAATATTCTAGAAAATGCAAACTTATCTATAGCAACAGCAAGCAGATCAGTGGTTGCTTGGGGATGGGCAGTGGTGGGGAGGAGCAGGAGGGAGGTATTAGAAAAAGGCTCAAGGAAATTCTAGGAGAGGAGGGATATGTTCATTTTCTTAGTATTGATGATGGTTTCACCATTGCATATAAACTGTACACTTTAAATGTTGCAATTTGTTGTGTGTCAATTATATCTCAATAAAGCTGTTAAAAAATGGTCGTTTTGACACATGTATAAAAATTACTTAGCTTCAGAGAAAACTTGTCCCTTGGTGCCGTGGAATACAGTAGCGAATGAAGCAGTTAAGTCCCTCTGAGTTCTTGTTCTGAATGGGAGTGTCTTTATGTGGGACCAGTGGAAGTGGCGGCAGATGTCCCTTTCCCAGAGAAGCAATGTTCTTCATTCTTTTTTTTTTTTTTTTTTTTTTTTTTTTTTGAGATGGAGTTTCGCTCTTGTTGCCCAGGTTGGAGTGCAATGGTGCGATCTGGGCTCATCACAACCTCCACCTCCGAGGTTCAAGCGATTCTCCTGCCTCAGCCTCCTAAGTAGCTGGGATTACAGGCATGCACCACCACTGTATTACAGGCATGCACCACCATTGTATTTTTAATACAGACAGGATTTCTCCATGTTGGTCAGGCTGGTCTCGAATTCCCAACCTCAGGTGATGCGCCCGCCTCGGCGTCCCAAAGTGCTGGAATTACAGGCGTGAGCCACCATGCCCGGCCTTTTCTTCATTCTTTTATGTTCAGATTTACTGATATGAAGATGACCGCCTGGGATAGTTTTGTCCTATATATATTCTTCTATTCCCTACCCTATCAAATATTAAGGTGTTATTTTATGCTGACTGATATTTGAAACTTTATTTTTAATTTATAAGTTTGGATATTTATAATCTTCTATCCAGGGAAACCATGCAAGCAAGGCTGGTGCTCCTGCCAGTGCCACGTGGTTGGGTGTAGTTTCCAGAACAAGGACTTGGGCAGTATTTTCAGTATTGGTCATCTACAACAAGCAGAAGAGGATGGAGCCAAAAACAAGGACAAAACCATGTCTGAAGAAGGCACCCAGGATCAAAACTAGATACTAGATTTGATGGTCATCAAATGAGGGTCAGTATGGTGATGGGGGCAGATATGGGAGATTTTCCAGAGTTCAGTAGCCTGAAGAAAAGGCATAAAGCAAAAATGAGGCAAGAGGGTACATGTCTTTGGTCATAAATAGGGATGGGTTGCCTGGAACTTTCTTCCATTAGGTGTTGACTGCAGGATGATGTGTCCGTCATCCAGTTCAAAAGGCACGGGGTTTAAGGCTGGAATAATGAACATAAAGCATATTTTCACTTTAATACCCTCTGAGTAATTAAAGTTAATTGAAGTCAAAAGTTAAAGTTAATAAAAGTAAATTAAGTCATCCAGTGTGGAGAAGGGTGCAGCAGTCAATGGCTTTTTCAATTTTTTACTTTTGAAAACTTGCCAGACAGGATGTAAGATTTCTCCTTCTTCTTTAAAAGGAGGGAATTATCTCTCAAATATTTAACTTCACGATAGGAGAAACGAGTTGGAAATGGGAATGAGAACAAGAAGAAAAGGGGATACATAAATTACAGATATTTAAGATACATATGTGCATTGTGAAATGTGTCATAGAAATGTGAAATATGTATTGGAAGAACATCACTCAGATAACTAAAGTGATTAAAGTGTCTTACATTTAAAATATTTCTGGGATCAGAGGATACATAAGATACACCTACTTCTTTACTTAGGAGGAAAAACTCGAAAAAATCCAGGGCCTTTTAGTATCTGTAAAATTTTGAAATGTAAAAATGATATAGGTTTCAAAAAGAATTTCTTCCCCAGCAAGTTTGACTTCAGTTTAACAGACATGAGTATAGAGCTTTCAGCTTCACAGGACACACCATCCTGGGCTTTGTTTTCTGCTCTGGTGCAAATGAAAGAAGATGACGTCATAGAAAAATCTCAGCTCTTTCATCGTACAGACACATTGCTGTTCTAGAGACTCATCTGCATGAGAAAAGTCTGTTATGACCAATGGTTATTCTTGAGTAACATGTTCATACAACTTTCTTCGAATTGGAGACGTTTTATGTGGAGAACTTTTAATGGATAAAAAAACTCATAAACTTGGAATGTTGAAAAATATTTTTATTATAATGTTACTTGAAATGTACAACTATAAAAATACATATGCATGCCTCATAGTTTTAGCTAGGAAACAGATATGACAAAAATTAACTTGCAAAAAAATGAAATACCAATGAGACTTTAAAACCAATAAAATTCAAATTGATACCATTAATTTGATGTGATGTATAATGCTATACTGCTAAAACTAAATTTTCTCTTCTAATGAGAATTTTCAGACCACAGGTGCACAGATCTCAGCTGACAAATGTTCTATAATAGCAATGTGACCCCTTTATGTCATCCTAGAGGCAATGGCAGTCTAGGCGATACCATGTGGGATTTAGGGACAAACAGAATTCGTTTAAATCTCTTCTCTGATTTTGTTTGTAAGTGGTGTGAGTCACGACAAGTTAACTTCTTATCGTCATTATTATCATCTGTGAAACAGGGAGGATGGTGAGGTGGATAATACCTTTTTGATGTTGTTTTGAAGAGTTAATGAAATAATTTAGAAGGTATTCCATAAAAATTAATTCCTTTTTCCCTAATACATTTTCTTTTTAAAACAGTTTTTGTAAGTTTGGCTTTCCAAAGAAAATTAAAGCCTATAAAACTGCATTAAAAACTAACTAGTTAAGAATTAATTTTGGGAAGCAAAGAATAACCAAAACTCCCTTCCTCCCATACACTATCATTTTTCCTTTTTTCTGTGGTTGCTCTGCTTTTTTTCCTCTCCATCCCCAGTGTCCTCCCAACATTCTGATGTCCAAATCCAGGTCCTCTCACTTGAATGTCCAGATGAGGTGCACTGCAGCCAGATAGCTTCTCCAAATTCCCTTGGCTAGAAGTGACCTCTTCCTTCTTATGATGCCCAAAGCAGATTTTATATGTATGTCTCATGCGATACTCAAATTTGACAGGACTTGGAGATAACTTACACAATGGCAGGACCTTGAAATTGGGATTGGAGAACAGATTTCCCATAGCTCAGCCCAGCCGGAGGCTGCTGGGAGACAACTGCAGGTGGACTCGCCCAGTGGGAGCAGCCGAAGCTAAGCCCCTCAGCACGCAGGGTGAGGAGGCAGCATCAGAGGTGTGAAAGGGTGTTTTGTTGGGAGGATTACTGGCCTCTCATCAACCCTTTCAGCCAGTCATGAATGCATCCACACAGAACAGTCCTGTCAGCAGCCTAATTTCTTTGCAGGAAAGGAAACGATAGATTCATGTAGGTGAGGTGGGGCTACACTTCTTACATTCTTGGTTGTAAAGAAACTGCACTTCTGGAAGCTTCTTTGTAGGCAAGTAGGTACTGTTTAGTGGCTGATTTGCTGCTGACTTGCGCAGGAAACTGAATCAGCTTGTGGGTCAGCCTCTGAGATTGGAGCTGTGAGGAGTTTCATACAGTAGGTTTCAGGGAGGGATCTCAGGGTTTACCACTTGGAGTGGAACAGACCATTCCCCCATGCAGAAGATTTGCCCTTGTCTTTCTTAATCTTGACATTTAAAAGTCCCGTAGGGACTGAGAATAAATATTTCTCTTTAGAAGGGGTAGATGTGTTAGTCAGCATCTCTCCAACTGACCCAATCATGGAAATCACCTGGTGAGCTTTTTGTTAAAAAGCCACAAATTTCCAAGCTCCATCTCAATTGTGCTGGAAATAAAACAGCTTGATAACAATTAAGTATCTATCTTTAAGTTATTCTCTGTCAATACCCTTTTAGCTTCTTCAGGATCACTTTACTATTTGGTTAGAGACCATTTGATAGCCATAGAGTTTGAGAATGAGACTGATGCTTAGCCAACCTAATTTTGCTAGTCATGTTTGCTATTTGTTGATTCATATGATTATTATATTTGTGTATTTCTTTAATCACTAATTAATACAACAAAGAACAAATATTTTGAGTTTAGGCACTGTACCAAATGCTAGAAATATAAACATGAATAAGACTTAAACTTGCCTTTAAGGAGAGCTTTTTCTTTCCTCAACATCTTTCTAGCTTACCATATGATTTTACTGCTTTGCTGCTGCTGCAAATAATAAAAATATGCACATTTTTTCACCCTTACAGTATGTACCCAAAACAAATTAATTAATTAATTCACTCACTAGTAACTAATTAACCCATTATAAAAAGTACTATGAATTCTCAGAAGAAAAATTGCTCAAATGTAGCAGATTATGTCTTTATAAATTTTGTTCAAAGTTGTCCATTGTGTTAAATTTATGATGCTTTATTAAATTTTTTTGTCCCATGCTATATATTTAGTTCATATTTAAAACATGCATTTGAAAAATCTACTTTATTGGAATTGCCCAAAAACTCTTCAAAAACCACCACAACCACCATCACCACCACAACCATCACAAAAACCTCTGTTTCTCCCAGGGTAAATAAGAACATTGGAATGAATTCTAATTTTTTTTAAAAAGAAAACATTATGCTTTAGTAAAATAAACTTTTACTTCCTAATTTCAAGTTGCTGACAAGCAGTAATATTTGTCACAGAAAATATTATGATATGCTTTCTCATGTTAAAAATGAAAGCGTAAGAACCAAAGGAGTTTACTAAAGATAAACAGAATGTCAATATAAACCAAACATTTCTTTCAAGTTTCTGGCCTTCCTGGCCAGAGAAGCAACTTTACCCAGGGTATGAGCATTACTAAATAAAATTAACAACTTATCTAAACAGTCAACTAAAATTCTGGAAGAATAGCTTCTTGGAGATTTGGACACCTCTAAGAGATGATATCACTATTTTATTTTTATAAAGGAATGTGTTTTCTGAGCTGGTAGCCTCTATCTCAGTGAATCTCTATGAATTCTCAACAAACTAATCAGTAATAATTCAGACATATTGCTCAATGGAGACTAAACTAACCTCGTGATAGATACTGTGACTGCCATGTACACTTACACTACCAAGCAAAGTTGCTTTATCTTTAAACCCCATCCCTCTGTGGCTCTTTCCCTCCTTCTCAGCTGTCTCTCTTCTCAGCCTACAAGTTTTCTCAAGTCTCTTCCACATTAATAAAACAAATCACAGAACCCTCAATAACGTCTTTTGACTCTGTGACTCCCTCTCTAGCCCCCTTTGGTTGGTTCCACATACTTCATTTGTGGTCAAGCTTCCAGAATATGTAATTTACACTCTAGGTTCATTTTCTGTGATTACCCCTTCCCATTACATTTTGGTTTTGCTCCATCATACAATTAAAATTCCTCTTATTGGAGTCATTTCCACCTCCCATTTGGCATTTTTCAGTAATTATCTTAGTTTATTTCCTGGGGCATTTGACATTGTTCCCAATGCCCTCACTCCCAAAATGCCTTTATCTTTCTTGGCTACTTGAACAACACTTTCTCTGGGTTTTCTTCCTGCTTCTTTCTTTGGTTGCTGCCCCTTAAGTTTCCCCGAGTATATTTTAAATCTGCCTGCCTCTGAAAAATGTAAGAGTTACACTTCCAAAGACTAGAGAGAAAAAGTGACTTTATAGTGGAGAACCTGGCAAACACTACCTTACCTTTAAGGCTAATATCCCCAATGATGTCATATGGGTATCAGATACCCCTGGAATGCTGTGATGAGAAAGGCTGCTTTACCTTTGTGGGATATTCTTTCCAAAAACCCATAACCCCATCTAATGATGAGAAAAATACATGAGGCAAACCCAAATTGAGGAACATTCTACAAAATACCTGGCCAGGACCCTTGAAAGATGATAAGGTCATTTTTTTTTTTAAAGGAAGATTGAGAAGATGTCAGAGACAAAAGAAGACTAAAGGGACATATTAACTCAATGGAGTGTGGTATCCTGAAATTGAGCTTGGAACAGAAAAAGGACGTTAATGAAAAATGGGTGAAATCCAAAAAAAGTCTAAAGTTTAGTTAATAGTAGTGCACTAATTTTGGTTTCTTAGACTTGGCAAATGTATCACAGTAATGTGAGATGGTAACATTAAGGGACATCGATATTGGGCAAAGGGTATATTTGAAAATCTTTCTACTGTCTACACATTTTTGGCAAATCTAAAATTATTTTAAATCAAAGGTTTATTTTTTTAAAAGTGTAAGAATCTTAGGCTCCTATTACATTTTGATTGTGTATTTACATGTTCCTTATTTAGATACTGAACCCTAGAATAGGGTTATTTAAGGCTATTGGTAGCAGAAAGGCTAATCTGAGACAAAATACTTGGGGAAGCATTTCATGGGCTGGGGAGACTAAGAACAATTTATACTCAAAGCCAGAGGCAAAATGGGGTGTTAGAAGCTCAGAGTCATTCAGAGTCAGAGTGTGAACCAAAGCAGGTGGGAAATACATAAAAAGAGATAAATGCTAGGAAAGCCCTTGGGAATATATTAACTAGTATGACAGTAGGACTGCCCTTTAAACATACTGTTACCTACTAGTTAAAATCTATTTGACTGACTTAAAGCATCAGAAGTATATGATGGCTTTTAGTTTATACAGCATACTTTGCATATGTTATGAGTTCCTTTGTTAATTCTTGCAGCAACTTTGTGAGGTACTATTATGTAGTATTTCCACTTTATAGATAAGCACACTGAGGTAAAGCAGCTAGTATAGAGCAACATGCCAAGAGACAGAGTCATGGCTCAAAACACTGCTAGTATCAGCTATGTTTTTTATTATTGAATTTCTTTCTTTCTTTTCTTTGTCTTTTTTTTTGAGACGGAGTCTCACTCTGTCACCCAGGCTGGAGTGCAGTGGCGACATTTCGGCAATCTCGGCTCACCGCAACCTCCGCCTCCCAGGTTCAAGCAGTTCTCATGCCTCAGCCTCCCGAGTAGCTGGGATTACAGGTGCCTGCCACCATGCCCGGCGAATTTCTGTATTTTTAGTAGAGATGGGGTTTCACCATCTTGGCCAGGCTAGTCTTGAGCTCCTGACCTCAGGTGATCCACATGCCTCAGCCTCCCAATGTGCTGGGACTACAGGTGTGAGCTACTGCACCCAGCCATTGTTGAATTCTTTAAAAATAAAAAACAAACCTTCTTCAATTCATATAAAGGACACTTATCCTTCGACTCTTTGAAGTATTGTGATGTCTCTTCATCTTTAAGGTTTCTTTGTTTAACCTCACAGGTTTGGCTAAACCAAGACATATGACAAAAAATGCTGCTGGATTCCAGGTCTTAATTTGCACTTTTGTGATGGAGTGCTGGGTAGGACTTGACTGAGCTGATCAATTGCTTAAGACATTTGGAAGAACTACAGGAAATACAGAGTGGTGGGAGTCCGTTTTGGTGTAGCCTCATGCTATTTGGCGACATACTTGTATTTCTCGCCTTCCTTAGGAGATTCAGATAGGTTTTTTGTTGTTGTTAAATCTCTCAGAGTAACAACTTTTATTTAAGATACATTCAACACAAGCTTAAAAGCAAAAATGTAACAAAAAGATCTGGCTTGCTCTTGTTGGAATGTTCCTTGAAAATTTCAAATAGTCCAAAGGACCAAGTTTCTTTATGTTCTTTAGACCTACCAGCTTCACCAGGTAATATATTTATTTCTTCATAAACAAGGCATGGTTTAGAAGATTAGAGTTTGGGCTTCCTAAATTCATTATAAGTCTTTCTGCTAAGAGGTTTTAGCATTTTTCTAATTAAGTTAACTTCAACATAACCTAAATTCTACAATGTAAACCCATGCAAAGTTCTTTTCCTCTCCTGGACTTAAGAAACATCAGTTGGGATGACTTTTACTGCTTCAGGTATTTTTGATCACCTGCATGTTAACACCTAAATGTAAGACAATGGTTTCTGTTCACACACCAACTGGAAAAACAAACATAGAAAAAATAATAAAAAACAGCATAAGTTACATGTCTGATGACAGGTAGCCGTAGCAAGAACTACAGAAATTTAGAGGAGAAAGTGTGCCTTAGGAGTAGTCAGGAGAAATGTAGTGAGAAAAAAGAAAACAAAACAATGAGGTAAGTAGAGACTTAAAGACTGAAGGGTCTGGAAAATAGCATTAAGTGAGGATTGATTTAGTGGATTGGAGGAAGAAGTAACTAAACTCCATACTGAGTATATTAGTCTGTTTTCACACTGCTGTAAAGAAATACCCGAGACAGGGTAATTTATAAAGAAAAGAGGTTTAATTGGCTCACAGCTCCACATAGCTGGAGAGGCCTTAGGAAAAACTTACAACCATGGCAGAAGGCAAAGAAGAAGCAAGTACCTTCTTCACAAGGCAGTAGGAAAGAGAGAACAGGAAAAACTGCCACTCATAAAACCATCAGATCTTGTAAGAACTCACTCACAATCACGAGGACAGCATGGGATAAAACCACCCCATGATCCAATCACTTCCCACCAGGTCCTTCCATCAACATCTGGGGATTACAATTTGAGATGAAATTTGGGTGGGGACACAGAGCCCCACTCTCAGGAAGAGTCATTCTTTAAGAAATTGTTCCTGTGAGAACAGTGAGAGATAAGAGAGCATATATTTGAAATTGTGGGAGAATTTGTATGTCAGGATGTCTGTGACCCCTGTGTCAGAGACCCTTTCAGATCTCTGTGGCTCCTTCCTCAGCCATGAAGTGGATAAATAGCGACACTCTTGTCTGTCATTTATCATCTCTTACCCCAAAGCTTCAGCTACTTGTTCATAAGGCACAGGAAAAGCCTTCTTACATTATGCAAGACCCAGACAGACAGACTACCAGGAAAGATGTTCTTTTCAGTGTGCAGTGAGGCCTTTGTCCTTCTAAGCATGATTTACACTAGTGCAAGGAAATTGTTCTCTGAACCAGTAAATGAAGAGGGGATTATAATAATATCTGTTTCTCTTTTATTTCTTTGTTCATTATTGAAGGGTTATACTGCTTTACAAAACTGATTTAATTTTCATAGGATATAAAATGATCTACGAAACTCACAGAGACCAAAAAGTACCTGATTTGTATTCAAGCTCTGAATGAAAGCTCTTCTTTTACAAGTGACAATATAAACAATAACTCTAGTTCTTCTGGCAGTTAGTTATTGCTTGGAATTATCCAGGAATTCAGAGTCCCTTTTGAGAATAATAGCATTTTGGTGTTTGATGTTATTTCATTTTGAAGAACTCAAAGGCTTTTATTTTTCACAAGTTTTTTAAATAAATGTGTTATTAGAATTTTCATATTTTATTTGATAATGTACATTAGAATTTCATAAAATATACAATGTTTAAAATCTCTAAATTATTTAACTAATGGTCTTGAAAGATAAACTTGACTTCCTATCATTAAGTGAGGCCAATAGATATGTTGCTGTGCCTCCAATTCAAATTAATTGAATCAGTCTAGATTTTATGATGTTAGACCAGTTAGATGTGAGAACTCCCTGGGTATTGGGTACTGGCAACAAAAAGGTAATAAGAGCATACATATCATTATGAATCAAGACATTTTTGAAGTAAATTTTCAGATAACCTGCTTAAGACTTTCTGAAGGGAAATTAAGTGCAGGATGCCTTTAACGAGAGCTCCAGATCTCAGAACACTTCATGCATTATTTTACAAAATATTCAAGTTAATTCTCTGAGTTTTTCTTAATCAAAGAGAAGCCACATAGATTGAGGTACATGAAATGAAAGAACCATTGAAAAGTATGTAGTTTTCAAATAAGTGTAAAATAAAAATATGAGTAAATGTATTTTTCCAAGATTTAAAATTAATTTTAGTAAAATTTTTCAGAGTGCCCAAGTAAGGAAAAGAAAACACTTCTGGTTTTTGAACTATCTGAAATTCAGCAGGAATGAAAATATTTCAGGTTTAATGCAATCAAACTCTGGCACAGTTCTTTGCCTGAGTAAAATGGGAACTATTAATAAACATAAAATTAGAGAACAATTATTTAAACTACCCCTGAGTGAGCCATAGTTATTTCATTTAATAGAAAATTTTTGTCTTCTTTCTTTTATCTTTTGCCGAAGGAATGCCAAAACCATTTGGGGATGTTTACTGAAGCAACAAGAGAAATAAGCAAAAAGGGATAAGAAAATAGGGAGAAAAAGAAAAATATCTGATCTTCAATGTGCAAGTCTGTTGGGAAAATTCTATTTTTCATTTTGCCAAGTATTTGTTGAGGTTCAAGTAAGTAGCAGGATAGAAGGTTTTTCTTGCAAAGAATTGGCATTCACATCTTATGAAAATTAAAATGTTGAAGTCCCATTATAGATTTTCATTCATAGTGCATTTTTCCTTTGTAGTGTTTAGCACAGCTTATTAAACATTTATTTGTGTGTGCTTTTGCTAAGCTCTGAGTTCCCTGAGGGAAAGACTAGAAAGGATCTCTGGTCCTTTACTTACTTTCTAAGACTTAGCACAATGGCTGACACCTAATAGAAAACAGTAAAGAGTCATTGCATGAATGAATGATGCAAATGAAATAAAAAACTGAACTCACAGGGAAAACTAAGAGGACATTTGATTATTTTAGTCATTATGAGAAGACGGTTTTGTGGGGACAAGTGAAGAGTACACATATGAGAACAAAGAGAAGCTCTTTATTCAGAGCTTGCAAGAGCATCAGCCACTATCTTTTGCAGTTGTCACAGAGAAAGAGGCAGGCAGAGGAGTACGAAAGCTTTATAGTGATAAAAAGGGAAGGCTTCAGGATGCCCAACTGGAGGTGTCAACTTGAAGCAGCTGTAGGGGCTACCTAGAAGCAGCTTCTCTTCTCCAGTTGGTTTGGGGACTATATTTGGCTTTCTCTAGTTGGTCCTGAGTTGGGAGAGAGGGCAAAAATTATGAAAACTGACAGTCATTGACAAAGTCCTGACCAGTCTAGGCCAATCATTGCTGAGGTTGTGTTTTGACTTCTCTGGCTGGTTGCTTGCTGCCAGAAGTTATGGGTCAGAGTTCTACTGTCGTTTATGGTCTGGCCATTGTCCATCTGTATATTCAATTTCTCTGTTTAGTGATTTACGGCCTCATGGGATTTTTTCCCCACAAATTTTATCTCCAGTACCATATAAAGGTGGGTACTTGATAAACATGCGTGGGATGGTGAAGAATGGGAAAAGGGCTGAAGTCCTTTTTCTCTCTGCTGTAGAGACTGTACCATCTAGCGAAATAGCCACTAGCCAAATGTAGCTGGTAGGCACTGGAAATGTAACCAGTCTGAATTGAGATATAGTGCAAGTATAAAACACATACCTAATGTCCAGGATTTGAAATGAATGAAAGAATGTAAAATATCTCTTTAGTAATTAAAAAAGACATTTTCTACATGTCAAAATAATATTTTGGACATATTGGGATAAATAAATACATCATTAAAATTAATTTCACTGTTATTTTTACATTAAAAATGTGGTTACTAGGAAATCTAAGATTATATATATGGTTTGGATTATATTTCTACTAGACAGGGTTGACCCAAGGTGACATTTTTGTGTATAAGTTTCCTCTTCAATGAAATAAGACAAATACATTGTATGATTTGTTCCTTCTTCATTGCCTCAACATGAGTATTGAAAATGGCTGGAAACAAATTTGTGCATTAGTTTATTCATTCATCAAAGTATTTTTTGAATTTACTGTGTGCCAAACAATAAGCTAGGGGTTGCTTACTCTTGAATAGTTCCCAATCATTGCCTTTGGCAACCTGAGGAGACGGAAAACTTAAATGGTGATTTGCTTAATAGGTGTAGGAAACTACTTAAGTCCAAGAAAATTTCATGAGCAAACACTCATGCAGCCTAATGCTCACAATTATATATCAATAATGTTATAATTAACTTTTCTAAAAAAATAAAACCAGCACCAAAAATATCTAAAAATTCAGTGCAGGAAGATCTTTGTTTACATGTTTTCATGAACCAAGACCTATTCCAGCTGTGATTTTTTTCCCCACTTATAAAAGCTGTCTGACCTTGCTAAGCCCCAGAACCCTATGGGAATCACAATCCCCTCCCCCATAAACTGGGTTTATCTCATGAAATTGCTCTGAGGCTCAAACATGATAATATGTGTGAAAAACCAATATAAATATGAAGGATAATTATGTTTATTATTAGAAACAATTATGGTCATTAGGTTAAAATGAGGGTACTGGGAAAAAGCAGTTTGGTGACCCACAGAATACATTTTAGCTTGTGTAGATTCCCATAGAACTAGAAGAAGCTAAATAAGGAAGCCTAAAAATACAAAGCATAATACGTGATAAAATCTAACCCTTCACATACTTCTAAATCATTTTTTTAAACTGCCTTCATCGTTGAAGTGAACTAATGTATGACAGAAAGCTCTCAGGAAGAAATTGCTTTAGGGCTGCATTTTTTATTAAAGGTATGGCCTAAAGCCTTATTCTTTAGAGGAATCAAAATGAAAAAAGAAAATCATTGCTCCGTATGAACTCTGGTGGCCTTTTGACAAATTTTGGTTCTCTCTCCTCACCTAGCCAGATTAAGATAACATCTCCAGCTATAACACTGGATTACAAAAAGCTAGATGCAAATGCATATAGTCCAGGGCTATATGAAAAAGATAACCTCCTTCCAGGCTTCCATAGTTCAGTATGGTAGCCGCAAGTTATGTGTGGCTGTTACACACTTGATATGTGGTTAGTCTGCACTGTGATATGTAGTAAGTGTAAAGTACACACCAAATTTTAAAGACTTAGCATGAAAAAAACAAACAAAAAATATTTCATTAATTTTTTATAATGATTACACATTGAACTAATAATATTTTGGATGTACTAAGTAAAATATATTATTAAAATTAATTTCACTTTTATTTCTACTTTTTGGAATGTAGCTACTAGAAAATTTAAAATTACATATGTACTTTGAATTTGTGGCTCACATTGTATTTCCATTGAATAGAGCTACCCAAGATCTTTCCTAGTGTGTTTTAAAGGCACAAGTCCTTGCCTTGATGGATTTTTGGATTCATCCATTTGGCTAAACTGCCAAAGCAGGTATCAAGGTTGGCTACCTGGAAAATAAGATGCCAATCATTCTTTCCTCCGGTTCTCATGTGTTTTCTTCATTCTTTCCCCTACCTCTGGTTGGAGAGAAGACAAACTTTGATTTTTTTTTAAAGGTTTTGAAGATTTATTGCCAGTATTAACAATATAACGAATGTATTTAAAGGGTGCAATTTTTTTGGCTCCATATTTAAAGCCTCAGCCTATATCACTCTTAATGTGATGTAATATGACAGTGTTTTATTTTATTTATTTTATTTTATTATTATTTTTTATTATTATTATACTTTAAGTTTTAGGGTACATGTGCACAATGTGCAGGTTAGTTACATATGTATACATGTGCCATGCTGGTGTGCTGCACCCATTAACTCGTCATTTAGCATTAGGTATATCTCCTAATGCTATCCCTCCCCACTCCTCCCACCCCACAACAGTCCCCAGAGTGTGATGTTCCCCTTCCTGTGTCCATGTGTTCTCATTGCTCAATTCCCACCTGTGAGTGAGAACATGCGGTGTTTGGTTTTTTGTCCTTGTGATAGTTTACTGAGAATGATGATTTCCAGTTTCATCCATGTCCCTACAAAGGACATGAACTCATCATTTTTTATGGCTGCATAGTATTCCATGGTGTATATGTGCCACATTTTCTTAATCCAGTCTATCATTGTTGGACATTTGGGTTGGTTCCAAGTCTTTGCTATTGTGAATAGTGCCGCAATAAACATACGTGTGCATGTGTCTTTATAGCAGCATGATTTATAGTCCTTTGGGTACATACCCAGTAATGGGATGGCTGGGTCAAATGGTATTTCTAGTTCTAGATCCCTGAGGAATCGCCACACCGACTTCCACAATGGTTGAACTAGTTTACAGTCCCACCAACAGTGTAAAAGTGTTCCTATTTCTCCACATCCTCTCCAGCACCTGTTGTTTCCTGACTTTTTAATGATTGCCATTCTAACTGGTGTGAGATGGTATTTCATTGTGGTTTTGATTTGCATTTCTCTGATGGCCAGTGATGGTGAGCATTTTTTCATGTGCTTTTTGGCTGCATAAATGTCTTCTTTTGAGAAGTGTCTGTTCATGTCCTTCGCCCACTTTTTGATGGGGTTGTTTGTTTTCTTCTTGTAAATTTGTTTGCATTCATTGTAGATTCTGGATATTAGCCCTTTGTCAGATGAGTAGATTGCGAAAATTTTCTCCCATTTTGTAGGTTGCCTGTTCACTCTGATGGTAGTTTCTTTTGCTGTGCAGAAGCTCTTTAGTTTAATTAGATTGCATTTGTCAATTTTGGCTTTTGTTGCCATTGCTTTTGGTGTTTTAGACATGAAGTCCTTGCCCATGCCTATGTCCTGAATGGTAATGCCTAGGTTTTCTTCTAGGGTTTTTATGGTTTTAGGTCTAACGTTTAAGTCTTTAATCCATCTTGAATTAATTTTCGTATAAGGTGTAAGGAAGGGATCCAGTTTCAGCTTTCTACATATGGCTAGCCAGTTTTCCCAGCACCATTTATTAAATAGGGAATCCTTTCCCCATTGCTTGTTTTTCTCAGGTTTGTCAAAGATCAGATAGTTGTAGATACGCGGCATTATTTCTGAGGGCTCTGTTCTGTTCCATTGATCTATATCTCTGATTTAAAATGACTTGAGCAAAGTTCTTATAAAAATTCCTTCAGTTAATGAACAGATGGAAATTATAAGATGAGTTTTCTTTGCAGGTCAGTCACTTTCCGTTTAGTTTGAGGTCACCTGCCTCTGCTCATGTGTGCAATAGGCATGATTTATTAGTGCTTTTCAGGGACTCATGTTCTCTTTCACTAGACATTTCATTTAAGTACCTTGTCTGACCACAAATTTGTACCAAGAAGGAAGTCCCATGACAGAAACCAGTTTAAACACCTTTTTCTTGCCTGTGTGCCCCCTAGCCCTTATGAGGAAAAAAGAAAGTCAAAGAGAAGCAGAGATTTATGGGATCACGCTTAAAAGTCAACAGAAAGAAGAAAGGTGTTCAAGATGATGTAGAATTTCTGAAAGTCAAATTCTCTATTTTCAAGGTTTTGTGCTCACAACATGCCCGGTATGGCAGTAGGCACTGGTCATGCAGGCAAAAATCCCTTCCCTCATTCAACTTATATTGTAATGTAAAGAGGCAGACAATAAACAAAGTGTTAAAGCATAATTTTCAAGAAGGTTTTATAATGATTCTCTTGCAAATATAAAATGGATACATATCAAAGAATATGAAAGACTGTATTCAACTCATTAATTAACAAGGGAACCAGTAAGATTTAAAAACAGGTTTAAAGATCTTTGGAGAAGTTAGGTATTTACAGTTAATGTTAGGAGAAATTTGTTGGGTTATACATAAAACTAGTTCATGACCAACAGGGACATAAATCATAACCATAAACCATAAACTGTTACGCCAATTGTTAATCATGTGTATTCTCTTCATCTTTCTCTATGCTTATGTAAGAATTTGCAACCATATACACAGTTTAAAAATGGAATCATATTCTCGATTTTAAGCAGAGTAATAATGTTCAGGTTTTACTTAATACATCATGGACATCTTTCCTGGGCCACATGCCGGGCTGGACAGAGTGAACACGTCTCTCAGCTGGTGGGGACCTTGTGCCATCTCCTACCGGCTCAGAGGAGCGGACTGTCAACGTGTCCTTCCAAGTCTGCATTCAGTGACCTATACTCTGGAAATTGTCCTATGCTATAAAGCAGGCCCTCTCTCCCAAGAGCTGATTGTTAAGCACTTACCATCACACCTGGCCAAGATAACCTCCCAGTCCTCTCAGCTTGACTAAACTGTAGATAGGTTTCTTCCTGACTATAGGCCGCTCTTGGATTCTTAGGGCATTTACTTTAGAAAAACTTCTGTTGAAAATTCTTTCTCTGCCCCTTTGAAATATTCTCCCAGGGTCTTGCTAGTTGCACAACCCAGGACTGTTTTTCTCAAGGACCTGGGAACCATCTCTTTTAGATGTAATCATCAAGGAGAATAGTGCCCTTGTCTCCCTGTCTCTGTGGAAGAGTAGGAGCCTAACTCGGATAAACACCAATTAGCAAGTACAGATGGCTTCATCACATTGACCAACCTCCCCTCTAATGTCTTGTAGTGCCTTTTCCCTGGCTCAGCCCAATGCTTAAAATCTGTCATTCCTTTTGTTTCAGTCGGGTTAAATTGAATCTCTCTCCACTATTCCAATAGTCTCGAATAAAGTGTTCCCTGCTTGTTTTAACTGGTACTAATTTTCTTTGACATACCACTGTCTATAATTCATATGCCTTAAGGGTGATACAATGTGCCCAGCCTCATAGGATCTTAGATGCTATTCTTAGATGCTATGTGCCATAGCATCTAAGTAATGGTAGGTTACCAATACTTCTACCCACAGGACAAAAGACAAATATCATGAAAACCATGACCAGACAGACTCCTTGTAGGAAAGGGGTCAGGCCAATATCAGGTAGGTCTATAAAATTAGCTTTCTAAACAGAGGGCTAATGGCCCCAGAGTCCTGTTCTAGTGGTCTTATGGGAATGCTTGAAAAACCAAACAGTAGAGTCAATGCAGATTTAAAGGTGTGTGTGATCAAATTTTGGGGGCCTTGGGGAGGCTGTTCTTTGGTGAATAGAACCTGTGTTGAAGAGATTTCTTGAGATACGTGACTGAATGAAGGATGGTGGAGATGGCATCAGTGAAATAAGTAGCATGTAACTTAGCAGGACATTTGGAGTACCATAAATGGATATCAAACTCATCAAGAAATAACTGCAGGCCAGGCGCAGTGGCTCAAGCCTGTAATCTCAGCACTTTGGGAGGCCGAGGCTGGTGGATCACAAGGTCAAGAGATTGAGACCATCCTGGCCAACATGGTGAAACCGTGTCACTACTAAAAATACAAAAAATTAGCTGGGCGTGGTGGCATGCACCTGTAGTCTCAGCTACTCGGGAGGCTGAGGCAGGAGAATCACTTGAACCCAGGAAGCAGAGGTTGCAGTGAGCCGAGACTGCGCCACTGCACTCCAGCCTGGCGACAGAGCGAGACTCCATCTCAAAGTCTCAAAAAAAAAGAAAAAATAAATAACTGCCATATGTTCAAGTAGTATGAATGTCACATACCCTATTCAACCAGTCCCTTCTTGATGGGCATTCAGGGGTGGTTTAAAGTTCTTGGAATTGCAACTTTGCAACAAACATCTTTGTATAGTTATCCTTGTGTCATAGTGCCTTTATTTCTGCAAGATAGATTCTTAAAAGAGAGAAGGTGAAATCAAAAGACAAAAAAAATTAAAAAGATATTTTAAATTTCAATAGTTATTGAAATAGTAGATTGCATTCTAAAAATAATATTTTGTAACCTTACCAGCGAAATGTAAGTGTTCAGCAGTGTATATAACTTCTGTTTCTGTGCATATTCTTGAACACTGGATGATACTGCTTTCTTAAAACCTTTGCCAATATATTGGGGGAAAACTGTATTTTCTTGGATTATGAATTTGTATCAGTACTACCACTTGGATCAGTGATAACAAGTGAAGTTGAGTGTATTTTTAGTTTAGATTTTTTTCTTGTGAGACTTGTCTTTCATATCCATTGCCCATTTTTCTATTGGCTTGTGCCTTTTCCTTATCAACTTGAAGACATGATTTTTATAGTATGTTTCATAGTATATTTTCTATTTTTATAGATAACATTATATTTTGTATTTGTCTGTTATATGGGGCAATCTTTTCTGAGTTCATCATTTATCTTTTGACTTTATTTATGGTCCAATTTTTATGTATGTGCAAATATGTATCTCTTTTCATTTGACTTCTGGGTGTTTCATCTCATTTATGAAAGTCTCCTCCTCACCTCAAATTTACCAATATATATTTTTTACACCTCTTGTTATATTTTTAAATTTTTAATATTTAAATCTTTAACCTTTTAGCATTTATTTTTTGTTTTAAAGCCAAATAGTTTCAAACAGAACATAAAACTTCCTTTTAGGGCAGGGATTTATTACTTTGAAAAGGCACACTTAAAAATTTTTAATAATTATTAAACTAACACGTGTTCATTGTGGCACTTTTGGAAAATATGTACAAACACTTTGGGAACTATGCCCATGACTTTTAGCATTAACTAATAGCACACACTTAATGCTATTTAGTTAGCTAACTCACTAATAACATTTTGATATATCCCTTTTACTCTTGTTGTATGTTACCATGTATGTAGAAAAGTGAGGTCATACTGCATAAGTAGTTTTGTATCCTACTTTTTAATGTAATATTTGTAGGTGTATCACAAAATAATATCTGGAAATATGGGTGCATAACATCCGGTTATTTGAACATACCATATTTGATATCACCTTTGGTCCAAATGCTTTCAGTTGCCAACCACAGAAAACCCAAATATTAATGACCTAAACAATAAAGGCATTTACTGTTTTCCACAACAAAAAATTCCAGCAGTGCTACCCTAAATGCCAGTTTGCAAACTATTTGATACCAGCCAGTGATGACCTAAGTAGCCTGCTCCAGAATGGAAAGCAAAAAAACACCCTTAGTTTAGTAGATAAGTAAACACTATTTGGTAAACTTTTTTTTTTTTTTGGTAGTGAGACTTTCTCAGTGAAGGAAATGGCACACTGCTTTATGCCTTGCATGTGATATCTCACTGAGGCCTATTAAAGTTCACAACAGCTACTATTACATGGACCCCACTTTGAGAAGCACAGGTCTAAAAAAAGGTCTGGTAGTTGCAAGCTTTCTAGATCCTGCAGCTCCACACCATCCAGGACTTAGGATCTTGGATCTTTTTGCACTGCCATTCTCAGCCTGTTGGCTCATACCCTTAGACTGATTTCTCTCAAACTCTCAAGCTGGCTTTAGTATATGCAGATGGACAACTCCGGAGGCAAAAATAAAGCATCTTTTGTGTTATATTTTAAGAGCAAGAAATATATCAAGCAAACACACTCTCAGGTTTCATTGACCAAAATTGCATCACATGCCTGTGCCTAAACCTATCACTGGCAAGGAGAGTGGTATTACATCAGTTATAATTCACCCCTCAGGGTAGAGAAATTCTGTGTCCCTGCAAGCACATGACCACTGAACCACTCTAATATTTGCTAATAGTTAATACACGATGGGGCTTCTGCACATGGGGAATAATACTACTTGCCTTAAAGGGTTACTGTAGGAAACCCAATGGAATAATGTATGGAGAGCAGTTAGCAGAGTCTGGCATTTAATACATGCTCCATAAATGTTAGCTATTAATTTCATTAGTGTTATTTTTAATTGTGCTTTTTTTCACTGTAGTTTTGCTTGGAAAATTCTTCCCTTTCTACCCCAAAAGTGGACAGTTATTCAGCAAAGTTTTCCTGTTTTCTTGTGTGTTTTGAAATTTTTGATTGTGATTTTATATTTAGTGAGGTTCTCTCTGTGGAAGCCCTGGGAAGCCTAGGTTAAGAATGGCTTTCCCCAAAGAGGACCAGGATTTGCATCTTCTACATGCCCTAGGGTGCAATCACCTGGGAAATATGAGGTAATGCCCCTGCTTGGGGTGTCTGGTCCCATTGAAGGAGTGTACATTCTAATTCCACACCTGAATGAGGGCTAGTCTCTGAGGGTATAGCTGATGGAGTGTTCCCACATTTGTGGGAATCTCAATCTCATATCTTCACCTCGTGCCTTGACCGTGATCCTGCTGAGGCCATTAAAACCCCAAATAGTGTTTCATGGAAGATAATGACTTCAGTCCCTGATTTCTACTATGATGAAGAGTCCTCCCCACTCCCTCTATTGCCTCACAGTTTCATTTCCTGGTGTCTTGTAGTGGGAGAGCTTTTGTGAGATACATAGTCATTTATGCTGGCACAAATGGGTGCTGTCCGTCTATTGTATAGGCCTAATACTTCTTTCAGTAATTTCCTTCTTTACAACTTTGCAATTTATCTGATATATTTTAGCATATGGTATGAGGTAATAATTTCATTTGATGTATTTTTTCCAAACAGTTATCTATTGAAATAGAACCACTTATCATTTCTGATTTGTCATATGCTAAACTATATTCTGTTAGGCCTACTCCTGAATTTCATTCTGCCCTATTAATCTACTGCTATATTTGACAGCAAGTAACACACTTGAAATATTTTCTAAATTGTGGCTTGATAATATTTTTACTATCTATTAATGAATTTTTTCAAAACTTTGCTTTTCTCATTTATTCCTCCAGATATATTTTAGACTCTGTTCTGAAGTATATATTATAAATTAATTTCAAAATCATTGATATCTTCATAATATTTACTCCAGAATTATGTTAGGACTCTATTTATTCAAGCTTATTTAAGCTAAGCAATTAATCTAGAGATAATTTTTTTAGATCGCTTAACTCAAGTAACCAGAATGATAGAGAAATTTTAGAAGGACATAGAATGGTAATAGCCAGCCTATGGGTATGAGGGGATATCTTGTGTTTTTGACTTGCATTTCTTTCATAATCAACGATGTTGAGCACATTTTCATATGTCTGTTGGCCATTTGTATGTCTTTTTTCAGAAATGTCTATTCAAGTACTTTGCCCATTTTTTAAATCAAGTTTGTTTTTGCTATAGAGTTGTATGAGTTTCTTATATATTTTGGATATTAACCCCTTATCAGAATAGGGTTTGCAAACATATTTTTTCCCATGCTGTAGGGTTTCTTTTCATTTTGTCATTTCCTTTGCTGTGCAGAAGCTTTTTATTTGAAGTAGTCCCAGTTGTTTGTTCTTGCTTTCGTTGCATGTGCTTTTGGTGTCATATCCAAAAAATCATTGCCAAGGACAATGTAAAGGAGTTTTTCTCCTATATTTTTTTTTCTAGGAGTTTTATGGTTTCAGAACTTACAGTGAAGTCCTTATTCCATTTGAAGTTAATTTTTGTATATGGTGTAAAACAAGGGTCCAAAAACAGTTTGCAATTTCCTCAAAAAATTAAAAATAGAACTATCATACCATCCAGCAATCCCACTGCTGGGTATATATCTAAAGGCTATGAAATAAGTATCTTGAAGAGATATCTGTATCCCCATGTTCATTGCAGCATTATTCATGGTAACCAAGATATGGTGACAACCTATCTGTGTCTACCTAACCTAACCTAAGTGTCTGTGGACAAATGGATGGATAAAGAAAATGTTTCTCTCTTTCTCTCTCTCTTTGGCTTAGTCCATTTGTACTGCTATAGCAAAATGCCAGATACTGGGTAATTTATAAAGAACAGAAATTAATTTTTCACGGTTCTGGAGGCTGAGAAGTTCAAGATCAAGGCACTGATGATTTTGGTGTCTTACGAGGGTCCTGTTTGCTGCTTCCAGCATGGCACCTTGTTGCTGCATTCACCAAAGGGAACAAATGATGTGTCCTTACATGGTGGAAGGCTGAAGGGCAAAGGGCCTAAATAGTTCCTTTCAGCCCTTTTACAAGGCACTGATCCATTTATGAGGGCAAAGTCCTCCTGACTTAATTACTTGCCAAAAGGCCTTACCTCTTAATGCCACCACAATGGTGATTAAGTCTCATCATGAATTTTGGTGGGGACATATTCAAACCACAGACAGACAGACAGACAGACAGACAGACACACACACAGAATATTATTCAACCATAAAAAGAAGGAAATCCTGCCATTTGCAACAACATGGATGAACCTAGAAGACATTATGTTAAGTGAAATAGCCAGAGACAGAAAAATAAATACTGTGTGATCTCATTTACATGTGAAATCTAAAAAAGTTGAAATTATAGAAACAGAAAACAGTGGTTGCCAAGAGCTGGGAGTAGGGATGGGGGGAATAGGGAGACAGCGATCAAAGGGTACAAATTGTCAGTTATAAATGAACAGTTTCTGGGATCTAATGTACAGCATGAGTGGTCATGGATGTGTTAATTAATTTGATTGTAGTAATCATTATACAATGTATATGTACATCAAATCCATTGCACACCTTTAATATATTCAGTCTTTGTTCATATTTAAAAATAAAAAAACCTAAAAAATGACTATATAGTGGGTTTTCTGCATTTGCTAGTAAAGTGTTGTTTTTTGATTTAGTGTAAAGATTAGAGAAAAAAGAGAAGAGAAAGAGAGAAGGAGAAACAGGGAAAGGTAATTATATTGAAAGTAGGTTGTTATGTCAGAATTTGTTGATAGCTTCTAAATCCTACTTTGACTATCAATTCCAAATTTTAGTCCCATCAAATTCTCATAAAAGTAAGTTTATAAATAATACATTTGACTGATACATATTACAGTCTCTTCTTTTCCCTCTCATTCTCTGTGGAGAAGAAGAATTGTGAAAATGTCTGAGCAATCATCAATCTGCTTAGCTGGCCCTGGAATAGTCACGAATGCCCATTACTACCAGGATTTTAATACCCAGTGTAATGATCCAGTGAGACTTCTTTAGTAGACCACCAATGACAGGGGTCTTTATAAGGAGCACAGGCGTTTGGTCTAATGATCCAATTATAAATTTGACAGGGGTCTTTATAACAGCACAGGTTTTGGTCTAATGATCCATATTAACAAAGACCTTCCAGTAGTTAATATGACCTAAGTTATTTTTTGGAAAAGGGATTGTGTGGATGGTCCTGATTGTTAACTCATGAATGAAGGTTGTTGGGCCCCTTTGTTGAGCTCGTGGTCCTCCCTAAGCTGACTAGGAGCTTTCAGAAATACCATGTACACATCCTGTTGTTGCTTTAGTCTCAAGACAGGAACCACAAGGCTGTGGATATTCCTTCACTTTATTCTAGAAGTTCAGCTGTGGTTGCTAAATGGCTCTGTTGTTGCATTGGAGGTTCTTCTATGATCCTCTGCTATGTTTGATGTTAAGGGGAATATATATTGCTCTATTAATTGTGTGACACAAGAGATCTGAAAAGTGTTCTGAGTTCTAGTCCACACTGGCCTTGTCTGGTAACTAACTCTTGCTTCTTTGTATTAAGGTAGCAAGACTCTTAAAACAGATTTTCCAGAAGAAAGAAAACATGTTTATCTTACTATATTAGAGAGTAAGAAGAAAAACAGAATCAACCTGGAGACCTTTTTTACTATTTAGATTTTGACAGTTCTCTAAAACCCATTTTATGTGCTTCCCTCCATGACATTTTTCCTAGATACCCTACTGTCTATATCTATTCTCCTCTGACTCTTGCAGCACATAGCTCTATGGCTTCAGCAGGAGCAGGAGTCATATTTGATCCTGATTATTCATGGATTTTTTATTTGTAAATGGTTACTTACTAAAGTTTATTTGTAACTCTAAAATCAACACCCAAGGTGCTCTTGTGGCCATTCATGAAGATGTGCAGAGTAGCAAAATATTTGAGCCTCCTGAGATGCATGTTCCCAGGTAAGGTCAAACAAGGACATGCTCTGCCTTCTTGTTTCTGCTCTCATACTATAGACAAGTGTCCCCTTTCTGCTCTATTCTTGTTTTTGCTCTCATACTGTAGACAAGGGTCCCCTTCCTGCTCTATTTAGTAACATGTATTTTGAATTTTTATGTTTTTGTTGTTGATCTAATTGCTTAAAATGGCTTTCAAATGTAGTGAAGATGTGTTGTCTAGTGTTCCTAAGCTCAAGAAGGCTGTGACATTACTAACTGAGAAAATACTTTTATTGGGTCAGGTGCGGTGGCTCACTCCTGTAATTCCAGCACTTTGAGAAGCCAAGGTGAGCGGATCACCTGAGGTCAGGAGTTGGAGACCAGCCTGGCCAACATAAAAATACAAAAATACAAAAATCAGCCAGGCATGGTGGTGGACACCTGTAATCCCAGCTACTTGCGAGGCTGAGGCAGGATAATCACTTGAACCCAGGAGGCAGAGGTTGCGGTGAACTGAGATCGCACCACTGCACTGTAGCCTGGGTGACAAGAGTGAGACTCCATCTCAAAAAAAAAGAAAAAAGAAAATACATTTATTAGATAAGCTTTTTTAAGGCATGAGTTATAGTGCTGTTGGCCATAAGTTCAGTGTTAATGAATTAGCAATATATCTTAAGTGTCTTTAAACAGAAACACACATAAAACAAGGTTATGTATTGATCATTTGATTCAAATGCTGTAACCAAAGGCTCTCAGGAACCTAGCCCTATATTTCCCTTAGGAGCAATGGGTCAGTATTTGCTAATTCAGTGTTTGTGGTGACTGATAGGATATAATTACTGCAAAGGACGGCAATTGACTGCATGCTGTTTCTATAGCTCCAGGGCCTAGAGAATGGTAAATCTCAATATATGTTTATTTAGTGAAATAGTCAGTGCCCATCAAATATTTGCCAAGTGAATATAAACGAGGAATGTGGTAGGAGGTGCAGAGCAGGGAAGACATTCTGCTAGGCCAGGGTCTTGGGGGTCTGTCTGTTGGTCAGGGCAGTTACCATGAGTGAGGAAGGCCCAGTCCAACAAGCCAAAGTGAATCCTCTAGAGTGAAGCAAGGAAGCAACTTGTGAACACTCAGGACCTTGTGTGGTGACCTGGAAATGGCTCTGGAATGAATGGGCCAGGTTCCTAGTTGGCATTTGCCACTATTTTTTTCTTTCTTTTTTTTTTGTTTTTTGAGACGGAGTCTTGCTCTGTCACCAGGCTGGAGTGCAGTGGTGTGATCTCGGCTCACTGCAATCTCTGCCTCCCGGGTTCAAGTGATTCTCCTGCCTCAGCCTCCCAAGTAGCTGGGATTACAGGTAAGCTCCACCACACCCAGCTAATTTTTGTATTTTTAGTAGAGACAAGGTTTCACCATGTTGGCCAGGATGGTCTCAGTCTCCTGACCTCGTGATCCGCCTGCCTCGGCCTCCCAAAGTGCTGAGATTACAGGCGTGAGTCACCGCACCTGGCCAGCATTTGCCACTATTTCAATGTGTCATTTGGAGAAAGTGATTTTATCTCTCTTGACCTCAGTTTCGTCATATGCAAACTGGGGCAACTGGGCTAGTTTAATGTTGAAGGCTTAGTGAACTTAGAATATGAAAAGAGGGAGCTGGCAGTTCCTGGGCTGCAACAAAAGCTTAAATGGCACATCATCTTTTCATAAGGCCCAAATGCAGAAATACAAATAACTACAGGAGTTTCAGTGTCTGAATTCTGCCTTCAACTTATTGGCACCTCGTTCAGACAATCTCATGGACAGTTCTGCAAACCATGTGCTCTCTCATCATACCTTTTGACATAGAAAGGGCCACTTCTACAGAAGTCTTTGTATCATCTGCATGGGGCTTTATGTCACAGTCATCTTAAAGTTTGTAGTTCAGGTCAAATGAGATATTTTCAAAGCTCAGTCTGTATTCCCAAAACAGCAATAAATCACTCAGAAAGTTATGTGCTCATTTGCACATAGCTTCAAATTACTGATTTAGCCAGCTGAGGGCATGCATTATGGTTTTTTAGCATATGATTTTTTATTTCTGGTGTTCTGATCATCCAGTAATTAGTGGATACAGATGAAATTACATGCTGCTGCCATTGCCTCAGATGGTCAGGTTTTCAGGATGCCAACTCCCAGCTCCTTTAGAGTTGACATAAATATTATGGAAGCAAAAAATTATAGTCATTTGCAGGGAAATCATGTGTTTAATTGCCAAGTGAAGCAGGGAAAAATAGCAGAAGCACGCATCATGTATCAGTTAATGTGAGTGCATTATTGCATGTTGCAAAGGGGTCTGGAAGGACTTTTCAATAGCAAAATGAAAACAAAACTATTATTAAAAAAATGCCATCTGTGAAGTCTCCAGATATGTCTGCCTGGCTCATTTCCTTTCAAAAATATTCCCTGCATTCCAAGAGATGATAATAATGAACGAAAATAACCATGGGGTAAACATGGACCATGGCTGATGGAGTGGGACTTAATGTAAGGAGTTGATGTTGAAATAAACACGGAAAGGAATATCCCGCAGACACATTTTGTGCAGCTATTTCAATGTTTGCTGTAGATGGCACTTTAACACAACAGAAGACTCCTCAGATCCTACACATAGGTGGGTTATTTTGATAATTTCAGATGCAGAATTTACTTAAACATTTATTTCTAAGCAAATGTTATTTGTAAAAAATGCACAAAACTATGGAGATATAATAATATTTCCAAGTTACATTAATTTTTGCCTTCCTATTTTAATTTAATCTTAATTTTAATTCACTTTTTTGTTATTTGGTAAACCTGTCATTTTGGGAAAGATAGTTGATAATTGATAAGGTTTTATAGGAGGCCAAGAATCAAGGTAACTTGGAAATATTGCTATCATATTTCTGTATTAGGTAGACAAATAATCACCACAGAAAACTTACCTAATCATGTGTCACATATCTTCCTCTATTTAAATTATGGTTAAAATTAGGGGCTTTATCTATTATTCTATATTATTATAAAAGCAAAGGTAAAGCTCTCATAGGTTCTATGTGGTACACTGTGATCAGCAGAGTATGTCAGTCAAGGACAAGAACTCTGGAGTCAGATTTTCTGGTTTGATTCCCTGTCTGCCACTTACCAATATGTGTCCTTGGACAAGTTTTACATTTATATATAACTCAGCTTCATCACCTTTAAAATGGAGAGACTATCAGTATCTACCTCGTATGCTCTTATGAGAATTAAATGAGACAATTCACATAAAGCAATTAGTCTAATACCTGGCATATATTAAGGGCTTAATATATGTAAGTAGCAAACTGCAAAAGCTAGCATTCAACCAGAAGTTAAGTGTGGCACTCTCTGTTA
This sequence comes from Homo sapiens, assembly GCF_000001405.40. Lineage (NCBI taxonomy): Eukaryota > Metazoa > Chordata > Mammalia > Primates > Hominidae > Homo > Homo sapiens. The sequence goes on from NC_000018.10 coordinate 54,504,486, forward strand.
TATGACAATCTTTAGGTGAGATGATGAGAAAAGCTATTACTTTATGACAGTCTATTATAATATTACCTGTATAATATTCTTTATTCTAATTGGACTATTATAATAGCTCATAATATAATAGATATGTATTATGAGGGGCCATTCTATGCCAATTACTGACATAATTTTTCTGAAAAGAAGACACATAAATTAAAATTACAATGAGATATGATTTTTTACCTATCAGAATTGTAAAATATAAAAGGATTAATAGTGTTGTTGATACAAATTCTATAAGTTCAATTCAGTGGAACCTATAGAACCTATAAAAAATGAGGAATGCACATACCTTTGATCCAGCACTTCAACATACAGAAACTTATTTTACAGAAATAATTATGCAAATACACATGAATATTTGTGTAAAGATATTCATTGTATCATTATTTGTAATAGTGCAAAATTGAAAACCAAAAAACATGAGCAGGGGAATGAATGATTAGATACATTGTTGTCTTTTCATACTATTGAATATTATGTACCCACTCAAAATACAGAAAGTAGATCTATATGAAATGTTACATAAAGAAGTCTGTGACACTCTGTTCAAGGTACAAACCAAGTTGCATTATGCTATGTATTTGGTATGATTCTTTTTTGGCAAAAATATACTCATCTACCTTCATATTTGTGTATTTATAGAAAAAGACTAGAAGGAAATTTATGAGATACAGTTTTACACTACATAATGATATTTTGGTCAGGGATGGACCACATGTATGAAGGTGGTCCCATAAGATTATAACAGAGCTGAAAAATTTCTAGCATGTTTTAGCATAATGCATTACTCATGTGTTTGTGGTGATGCTGGTGTAAATAAATTTACTGTGCTGCCAATCATATAAGCGTATAGTATATACAAGTATGTATACTGCATAATACTTGATAATGATAATAAACAACTATATTACTGGTTTATGAGTTCACTATACTATACATTTATTGTTATTTTAAATTGTACTCCTTCTATTTATAAAAAAAAAAAGTTAACTATAAAATAGCCTCGGGTGGGACCTTAGAGAGGTATTCCAGAAAAAGGCAATGATATAGGAGATGACAGCTCCATGCTTGTTATTGCGTCTGCAGACCTTCTAGTGGGGAAAGATGGGGGGATAGAAGACAGTGGTATTGATGATCCTGACTCTGTGTAGGCCTAGACTAATGTGTGTGTTTCTGTCTTCATTTTTAACAAAAAGTTTTTAAAAATAATAAAATTCAAAAATTTTAAAGTAGAAAAGGATTATAGAATAAGGATAAAAAGAAAGAAAATATTTTTGTACTGTTGTACAATGTGTTTGTGTTTTAAGCTAAAAGTGCTATTACGGAAGAGTCAAAAAGTTAAAAAAGGAAAAGATTATAGAGCAAAAATGTTATAGTAAGCGAAAAATAATTTATTACTGAAGGAAGAAAAATAATTAAAACATAAATTTAGTGTAGCCAAGTGTACAGTGTTTCTAGGGTCTGCGGTAGTGTGTGGTAATGTCCTGGGTCTTCACATTCACTCACCACTCACTCACTGACTCACCCAGAGCAATTTTCAGTTCTACAGGCTCCATTCATGGTAAATGTCTTACACAGATGTGCCTTTTAAAATCTTTTATATCATATTTTTATTGTATTTTTTCTATCTTAACATATGTTTAGATACACACATACTTACCATTGTATTACAATTGGCTACAGATTTCAGTACAATAGCATGCTGTATGGGTTTGTAGCCTAGGAGCAATAGGCTTCTGGCTTTCATAGAGAACCCTGAGCTGATATTTAGCTGACCTAACTCTGTTGTTTTCTTCATTCAGGGCTGCTATGGCTTGTAATAACAGCTAACCAGCTCTACATATCTTTCAAGCTCCAGAGTTTGCAGAAGTCAGTGCATCCCTTTCTGCCTGCACCCCATCCCAATCCACTACTGGTGGAAATCCTACTAATTTTATGATGCTACTGAGTGCTGGAGGTACCACCATACTCGAGAGAGAAATGGGGCCCTCAGGTCCTCCTGGGTCCTTGTTGCCTCGATTCCCAGAATCTCACCCTGAAGTCTGCTCTCTATACTCATTTTTGTTAGCAACTGTCTTAATTTAGGTTTACCCAGAAATCTACACTGAGATAAGAATCTGAGTAAAGTAGTCCATGTGGGAGGAGGTCTGAGAAAGCATTAACTGGGCAATGAGGAAGTGAAGTTACAAGGGTAAGAGTTAAATACACAGCACATGTAAATGAGCAAGTTACTATTGCAGGCACCTGGAGCCCAATCTGGCTGAGAAAAACTGTGTAGAAAGGGGCTTTACAAATTAAAGCCCAAGGGCCAAGTCTCACTGCGGCCTATTTTTCACCTACAGGTGAAGATACAGAAGAGGCTGAATTCACTGCCCTGGAAAATCTCCTGTTGAAAGTCAAGGATCTGACAGGCATGGAGTGGGGCTCTTAGATTTGAGGCAGGTTCATTTGGGGATGTGCTGGGCTGGATTGCTGGAGCAAACAGCCTTCCTTGTCCTGAAGACTATGCAAATGCCTTACCTGAGGTAATGGCCTTGCAAGAGATGCTTTGTCTCTTTGAAATCAGTTCCTGCTTCCTCTCATTACCTAAAAGTAAATGACTAAGGTCAAGGTAACTAAGTCAAAAGTAAATAACTAAGGCATGGCTATATTGAGCACCTACTGCCTATGCTATGGGAGGAAAAGAATAAAAGGATTATTCACCCAAAGAGCTGTGGGACCTGGCTAATAGGTACCAGCAGAACTAGGAGAACATACCTGGGGATGGAACCTGAGGATGCCGAGCCAGGGAGGGCAGGCTATGAAGCTAAAGATAATTGATACGGGGACATTCTCTAATGATCCAGGATTTAACATCTTGTCAAGGACACCTGGAGCCAGTCCTCATGCCCTGCTGGGATGTCTCCTTTGAAGCCTGAGCACATTGGTGGCCCACAGGAAATACAGTAGATATGATAGAATTATCTTGACAAATTATTGGAGAAGGGATCAAAAGGCTCAGATAAATGGCCAAGTTAAAAGAGATTTATTCTGTAAAACCAGAGAACCCACCAATTGACTATGTTCCTTGAGGAGCACAAAGGGCGCTCTCTTCACTAAAGTGCTAGGAGCATGGCACTGAGGGGGACGCTGGTGGCATTGTTGGGAAGCTCTGTGATAACTGTACTCTGTAGGCCAGGTGTGGTCTATGGAATCAGGCTCCCTAATGTCACTGAGATAACAGAGTGGCTTGGTGGTGGCATTTAACATTCTGGGTGAGTGGATAAAATTACCACACTGGCAGTATGGTTGAAGAGTAAAAAAGGGCTTTGAATTGCATTTATCTGTAACAGTCACCAGTGGGGCCATGGTGCAGTTAAAAATGTATGGCTTGGCCGGGCGAGGTGGTTCACGCCTGTAATCCCAGCACTTTGGGAGGCTGAGTCGGGTGGATCACAAGGTCAGAAGATCAAGACCATCCTGGCTAACACAGTGAAAACCTGTCTCTACTAAAAAAATACAAAAAAATTAGCTGGACGTGGTGGCGGGCGCCTGTAGTCCCAGCTACTCGGGAGGCTGAGGCAGGAGAATGGCGTGAACCTGGGAGGCGGAGCTTGCAGTGAGCTGAGATCGCGCCACTGCGCTCCAGCCTGGGCGACAGAGCGAGACTCTGTCTCAAAAAAAAAAAAAAAAAAAAAAGAAATGTATGACTTGGCTTGTGCTACTGCAATGCCCTACAGAAAGTGTCTAAGAGAGAATGTGCAGTCAACAGTCAGGTGGTTGAGATTAATCATCCATGGAGCTCAGCCATCCTCTGTCTCTGTTCCCCCCAAGTATTGGCACAATGGGTCAATAATAAGAATAGATATTATGGCACGATGGAGGCTATACCTGAGACCAACAGCATGGGCTTCCACTGCCCGTGGCTGATATAGCTACCACTCTGATGAATATGTCCCCCGATAGCACCAGAGACTGACATTGTCCTCAATATGGTTCCACCCCTGGGGAAACCAACCAGCCAGTTAGTGATAAATTGACTACATCAGACCCTTTCCACTCTGGAGCACATAGCAATTTATCCTTACAGGGATTAATACATATTTTAATACCTCACTGGCAATAGTTTGCCTTCTCTGCCTGCAGTCCTCAGCTAGGATCACTGTCTGAGGTTTCACAGAGTTTCTGATATACTGACATAGAATCCCACATAACATTGTCTTAGATTGAGATTCTCAACTTTACCACTATTGACATTTGGATAATTCTTTGTTATGGGGGTGCTGACTTGGGCACCGTAGGATGTTTAGTAGCGTTGCTGGCTTCTGCCCATTTGATGCCTGTAGCATCATGTACCCTGTCCCTCTAGTTTGAAAAACAACAATGTCTCCAGACAATGCCAGATATTCATGAGGGGATGGAATGTTCCCAGTTGAGAACCACTGGTTTCAGACAAAGGGAATCACTTTATGGCAAACAAAGTTTAATAGTGAGCACAAAACCACCAGATCCAGTGGTCTTTCAGTATCCTGCACCATTTTGAAATCTGCCTGTCAGAATCTTAAAGGAGCAGCTAATGTACCAGTGAGGGGCAAATAGTCTGCAACATTAGAGTGCTGTTCTTCTAGATACTTAGAACCAAATGGTCATTGTATGTGCCATGGCCTCAATAGCAGGAACATATGGGTCCAGAAACCAAGGAGTGGAAGTTGGAGTAGTCCCTTTACCATTACTTCTGCTGATCATTTGGGGGGAAATCGTGTTTTCTGTCTCAGAAATTTTAGCTCTGTTGTATTAGGGTCCTGACTCTTGGGTGATGGAAGGGAATGGTATCTGGTGGGGGACATATGTGTTCTACTAACCTTAAAGCTACAGCTGCTGACCTGCTTATTGTGGACTTCTCATTCCTGTAGATCAGCAGGCAAAGAAAGGAGTTAATATATTGACCAGGGTGCTTGATCATGAGTATTGTGGGGAGATAGGGTGGCTTCTACCTACCTGGGAGTAGGAAAGACATGTCTGAGATTCAGCACATATACTGCAATGCTTTTTGATGCTTTTGGTCCTGATAATAATAATGAAAGACCAATTTTAAGAACTATGGCCCAATCTACTATGGTGAAGTAAGTAGGTTTTACTCATGGGTGAGTGCTATATTACCCCATCAGAAATCTGGATGAGCAAAAGTTCTGGTCTAAGGAGTGAAGACTCTACAATGTGTAGTAGAGGAGAGAGATGAAGAATATCAGTGATGACCTTGGAACCAAATGCAGCAGCTTCAACTATAGTTTATCCCACCAATCTTGTTTAAGCTTCTATTATTTTAAACTTCAGTTTTAGCAGCTGAACTGGAACCCTAAATAATACACACATCCAGAACACTTATAAATCTGCAAAAAAAGGAAAAGTAATTTAAAATAAAATTTGGCTCAACCTCACCACTTATTAACAAAATTCGAATTGAACACCTATGAGATTTACAAAAATTGATGTGGTAAGCAAATATTACAACACTGATTTTTTTTTTTAGAAAATACATAGATTTTGATCTTATATGTAACATTGTATTTCAGATGGATTTATATTGTATAAACATCTCTTTAAAGTACTAGAAAGTTAAAAACCATATAATTTCAACTGATGCTGAAAAAGCATTTGATGAAATTCGACATCTCTTCATGATTAAAAGCCCTCAAAAAACTATGTATAGAAGGAACATAACTCAACATAATAAAAGCCGTATACGACCAGATGCACAGCTAGTATCATACTGAATGAAGAAATATTGAAAGCCTTTTCTCTAAGATCTAGAACACAACAAGGACGCCTACTGTCACCACTGTTATTCAACATAGTACTAGAAGTCCCAGCTAGAGCAATCAGACAAGAGGAAGACATAAAGGGCATACAAATTGAAAAGGAAGAAGTCAATTTATCCTTGTTTGCGGATGATATAATCTTATATTTGGAAAAACCTAAAACTCCACATGAAAACTATTAGAACTGATAAACAAATTCAGTAAAGTTGCAGGATACAAAATCAACATTCAAAAATCAGTAGCATTTTTACATATCAACAGTTAACAATGCAAAAAAATAAACAGAAAAAGCAATCCCATTTAAAATAGCCACACATAAAATTAAATACCTAGGAATTAACCAGAGAAGTGAAGATCTCTATTATAAAAACTATAAAACATTTATAAAAGAAAGTAAAGAGGACACCAAAAAAGAAGAATATTCCATGTTCATGGATTAGAATAATCAATATTGTTAAAATGTCTATAGCAATCTACAGATTCAATGAAATCCTTATCAAAATAACAATGACATTCTTCACAGAAATAGAAAAAAGAATCCTAAAATGTATATGGAACCACAAAAGACTCAGAATAGTTAAAGCTATCCTGAGCAAAAATAACAAAACTGGAGCAATCACATTACTTGACTTCAATTTGTACTACAGAGCTATAGTAACAAAAACAGCATGGTACTGGCATAAAAACGGACATATAGACCAATGGAACAGAATAGAAAATTCAGAAACAAATCCTCACACCTGCAATGAACTCATTTTTGACAAAGGTGTCAAGAACATCCAGTGGGAAAAAGACAGTTTCTTCAATAAATGGTTCTGGGAAAACAGAGTATCCATATGTGGAATAATGAAACTAGACTCCTATCTCTCACCGTATACAAAAATCAAATAAAAATGGATTAAAGGCTAAGACCTCAAACTACGAAACTATTACAAGAAAACACTGGTGAAATCTCCAGGACATTGGTCTGGGCAAATATTTTTTGAGCAATTTCCCGTAAGCACAGGCAATCAAAGCAAAAATGGAAATATGGATCGCATCAAGTTAAAAAGCTTCTGCACAGCAAAATATATAATCAACAAAGTAAAGAGACAACCCAGAGAATGGGAGAAAATATTTTCAAGCTACCCTGATAAGGGATTAATAACCAGAATAAATAAGGAGCTATATAGGAAAAAAAATCTAATAATCTGACTAAAAAAATGGGCAAAGGATTTGAGTAGACATTTCTCAAAAGAAGGCATACAAATGGCAAACAGGGATATGAAAAGATGCTCAACATCACTGATCATCAGAGAAATGCAAATCAAAACTGCAATGAGATATCATCTTACTCCAGTTAAAATGGTTTATATTCAAAAGACAAGCAATAAGAAATGCTGCCGAGGATATGGAAAAATGGAACCCTCATACACTGTTGGTGGGAATGTACGTTAGTACAATCACTATGGAGAACAGTTTGGAGGTTCTTCAAGAAAGGAAAATTTGAGCTACCATGTCATCCAACAATCCCACTGCTGGGTATATAACCCAAAGAAAGGAAATCAATATATCGAAGAGATGTCTACACTCCTGTGTTTGTTGCAGCACTGTTTACAATAACTAACATTTGGAAGTAGCCTAAGAGTCCATCAACAGATGAATGGTTAAAGAAAATGTGGTACATATACATTATCGAGTACTATTCAGCCATAAAAAGAATGAGATCCAGTCATCTGTAACAACATGGATGGAACTGGAGATCATTATGTTAAGTGAAATAAGCCATGCACAGAAAGACAAACATTGCATGTTATCATTTATTTGTGGGATCTAAACAGCAAAACAATTGAACTCATGGACATGGAGAGTAGAAGGATGGTTACTAGAGGCTGAGAAGGGTAGTAGGCGGCTTAGGGGCAGGTGAGGATGGTTAATGGGTACAAAATAATTAGAAAGAATGAATAAGACCTACTATTTGATAGCACAATATAGTGACTAGTCAATAATAACTTAAATAATAATAGCTAAAATGCTCCAGGAAGAAATGAGGCAAGAAGAATGAATTGACAAGGAGAGATACCTGCAATAGCAGAAAGACAATGGTGATGATGATGATGATAGTTAATATTTATTAATTACTTTCTAGCATCAAGGATTTTACTAAGCATTTTTATGTATCACCTTATTTAATTTTTCATGTGTTTAATTTTTCATGTATTACCTTATTTAATCCTCCAAATACTATGATGTAGATATTATCATTCCCATTTAGACAATTACACAGGTTAAGACATCCAGGAATTTGCAAGCAAGATAAATAAAGAGAAATCCACACTTAGACACATTACAGTGAAACTATCAAAATTCAAAGATGAAGAGAGAATCTTAAAAGCAGCCAGAGAAAAAAAGATGGCAAAATAATGACATTGACAGACAAACTAAAACGGAGAATTGGTCGCCCAGGGACCCTCACCAAAGCAAATTCTAAAGGATATTATTCAGGCAGAAGGAAAGTAATCCTAGAAGGAAAGTTTGAGAGACAAGAAGGAATGACAAGCAAAGAAAGTGGTAAATATCCAAGCAAATGCAAATAAACATTGGTTGTATAAAATAGTGACAATATTATGCATAGGGGTTAGGGAAACCCCAACAAGATCCATTTAAAATGCCAGAAAACACAGTATATATATATATATGTCAGAGGGAGGGTAAATGGAATTAATTGGCTCAAAAGTTACTACCTTTTCAGGGGGAGCGTGATGAGGGTTGGAATAAGCTTAGACTTTGATAAATTCTAAATTCTAGGATAAATATAAAAAATTCAAACTTGTGGAGGAAAAAAATTGGAGTAACAAAAGTTGCTTAGACTTGCATATGCATGTATAAAGAAAAGCAAGAATGTAATTACTATAAAAAGCAAGGATATAATTACTATGAAAATCAGAATAGTGTTACCTTTAAGCAGGAGGTATCTGTATCCCTGTGACCTGGAAGGCATGCAGAGAGTTTCTGGGATACTGGTAAATTTTTGTATCTCAGGTTGGGTGGTGATGCAGTAGGTGTGAGTTTTATCATTGTTTTTTTAAATGTACAAGTATATTTAATGTAGTTTTATGTTTGCATGTTTTTTTAAGTAATTAATTAAAAAAATTAATTAAAAAGCAAATAACCTGAGGTTGAGATGAGCAGATTCCAGGAACATTCTTAGGGTAAAAATAGGCAAGAGAAAGTATTAATGGAGTTGAAAACAAAGTCACCTACATTTAGCAACGTGTCTTTGATGAGTGGCTTTATTTACTGACACTTTTCCTAAAACTGAACATGTATAACTGAACAAAAGTGACAAAGATCTCTGCCCTGCGGATCCTAGAGCGGGGGACAGATAGTAAACCAGTTTTAGTATTCTCCTGTAATGTTGCTTATTGCTAAAGCAGGAGGGGTCAGGAAATCAAGTCCCTTTAGAGAGACACCAATAAAACTGCTGGTTTGATTTATATGAGACCAGTCGAAGGGGTAGCTTTTAAGTCCCTCCTGTCTGTAGAAGGTATAATTCCATGATTGTTGTGAAGTTTGTGACCAAAAAGCATTATAATAGTAAGAGCAAGAATCAGCTATAGCCTCAAATTTCTGAAAATGACCTCAGAATTTCATCTCAGAAAGAGCTTGGCAATGAAACAAAAGACATACAAATCAAAAGTGGAAAACAGCTCCAGGAAAATTTTGATTATCTTGAATAAGAAGGCATCCAGAGCTGTAGCAGAAAAACTAATTTTGCTGAAAACACAGACAATAAAGGCGTGAAAGTCCTGGTGGAAAAGGAACTGTGTTTCAAATGTGTTCAGGTTGATATTAGGCTAATATTGTGTGTCCAGGCTTGGACCTCTAGGATCTGGGTTCCCGGGATTGGCTGCTATCCTACCGAGTAGAGTGACCGGATTTGTACCCAATGTGCTCCAGCCTTCCTGAGCAAAATCAACCTTCATGAGCGGATGCCAGCTGAAGGCTTGTCCTTAACCCGTCATCCAGCAAATCATTAAAAGAGGTTGTCAAAGACAATACAGATTTCCTCCAAGTCGTTTGCTGGATTAAAAACAATTCAGGGGACCATGAGGAAGCCAGAGTGGAAGGCCAGAACACAGCATGTTAGTGATTCCAGGTCCAAGGTAAGCCTGAAAATTCAGCTCCGGCTTTCAGAACCCACTGGCCCATTCTGACACAGCCTATTCATTTATTTTAAATTATATTCTCCCATTATGTATGCTGTGTCCGAATACCACTATGTGCTGGACAGAGCTCTGGGTGGTGTATTCTTTTGTGTAAATAGCATTTAGAACATTCGGTAATAAATTACAGTCTACCAGATAACCCATATGTACTTACTGAGGGTGAACTATAGATTTTAAGATATTATAAGTCTTAGTCTTATCCTCAATATATTTACAAGCTATAGTTGGGAGCAAATATATTGATACAGTAACTGACTGAAAATAACAAAAGTTTCCATAAGAATTAAGTGATACATTTCATGATATGAACGATAATAAAACAGGGAGATTACTGAAAGTTTAAACTGGTCTGGGAGGTTTCATGGAAGTCTGAACTTGTGCCCGGATTATGAGTGTGGATTTGGAGGTAGTGTTTAAAGAAAAGATAAGGGGCAGGTATCCTAGTGAGAGAAACAGTGTTCAGGCAGGAAAGAGTACGAATTTACTACCACATACCTAAATGTGCAGGTTTGGAGAGCAATGGGCTAGAAGGAACATGTCGTTTCTGCTAATTGGTTTCTTCAGCTGTGACTCCTAATATTTACTGTTTCATTTGCTCAATGCAAACTATGAAGTACTTGCTCAGAGTACATGGAGCAGCTGGGTTTCTGGAATCCATGTGTTTTGAGCCTATTTTCCTTTTAAGAATAGTACAGAATACATTTATTGCAGGAAGCTCTTTTCCACTAGTGTGCTGATTCATTCACCTTCTTTGTTTCTGCCTTTCTGAAGTTTTTCTTGAGTCTAAGTAACCAGAGCCACCAACCACAGCTCAGGTATAGCCAGAACAGCAAATGGAAAGTGTGAAACCAATTCAAAAGGTGTTAATTCACACCCACAGATTCTTGCTCAGTCAGAATTGTCAAACACGGGGGTATAAGTAGTATGATTTTCTGTTTTCCTTGTCTTGTCATAAGACCCTCTAAAATTATTTTTATTTTAAACTGTTTTACGTTTATTCATTTGGCTTGGGTGTAATTCAATTATTTATAAAATGCCAGTATTTGAGTATCTGCTTCATTAGAGGCATTAATAAGTATTTATGGTATGTTACTTTGGTGAAATGAATTAATATAGAAATATTATTATTATTATTATTATTGTTTGAGACAGAGTCTCACTCTATCACCTAGGCTGGAGTGTAGTGGTGTGATCTTGGCTCACTGCATCCTCTGCCACCTGGGTTCAAGTGATTCTCCTGCCTCATCCTCCTGAGTAACTGGGACTACAGGCATGTGCCACCATGCCCAGCTAATTTTTGTATTTTTAATAAAGATGGGGTTTACCATGTTGGCCAGGCTGGTCTCAAACTCTTGGGCTCAAGTGATCTGCCCACCTTGGCCTCCTAAAGTGCTGGGATTACAGGTGTGAGCCACTGCACCTAGTCCAGAAATATTATTTTTGAGCTGGTATAAATATATATATTTTAAATATATATATAAACAATTACATATATATAACTTTAAAATTATATATAACTTTATAGACTATATACTATATAACAATATATAATATATAGTATATGTATTTATATAATATAAAGTATATATATAACTTTATATACATGCTATATATAGTGTTTTTAATATATAGGGTCAGTGTGTAAGTGTATAAAGTTTTATATATATATTTTATTTGTATATACACACATACACATATATGTATATATAAAACTTTATACATATATATTATATATTTTATATATTTATATTTATATTAATATATGTACACTGAGATTTAGGATATACATATGCACACATATATAGAGTGCATGTATAAAGTTATATATATAACTTTATATATGTATACATACATATACACATATATTTAGGTATGTGTATATATAGTGTGTGTATAAAGTTATACATATAATTTAGATTAAATATATAATATAAAGTAGGTTCAGAGGGATGAGTGAATCTAACACATACATATAAATTATATATAATTATATGTATATATATAATGCGTGCATGTATAAAGTTATATATATAATTTATGTGCGTGTGTGCGTGTGTGTGTGTATACATACATACACCTAGGAGCAGAATTGCTGGGTCATAGATATGTGTGGCCTTAATTTTACCAAGGACCTGTAATGCCAGATTCTAGAATTGCTGCCACCCTGCCCAGCATTTATTCAGCTTTGCATTTTTTGCCAGTGCAATAGGCCTTGAATTCTAGCTACGCAATACCTTGTGAAAACACCCCAGGAACTTTTAAATAAAACCAATGCCCAAGCCCCACCCAGAATATTTAGATTTAAATTTCTCAGGGTAGGGCCTGGGTGTTAGGTTTTAAAAAATCTTTCCAGGTGATTGATTCTAATGCACAGCCAAGGTAGGGATTCTGGTGTAAAGTGCTGCCTTGGTGTTTTAATTTGCTTTTTTCTCTGATTACTCATGGTTTTGGATATCTCTTCTTATGCTTGTTAACTTCTGGGGTTTCTTCTTGAGTAAATTACCTGTTCCCCAGCATATTTACATGATTGGGTGCAAGTTTAAATGATAATGTATATGTTTGAAGGGGAAAAACATCACACAGACCAAGAGAGATGAAACCACATGAGGAAGGGGCAGTCTGGCTCCCTTAGCCTCAGTGATCATGGGATTAGGAAATCTACCTCATTGTATGAGGCTGTGGTCTTTGGAAGTCACTTCCTCCTTATTCAGGTACTGCTTCCTAAATCACTACTCAGCCCCAGCAGAATTAGGGATGGTGGAACTTAGTAAGTACTATTTAGGTGTTTGTGAAATAAATGTGAATAAATGACTCTTTTATTTCTAGGTTTGCAATACAAATGCCTCTTTTTCCTACTTAATAATTGGTGCTGGACAACTTCTATTATGGAAAGATGTCAGTTTCTAAGCATCATGGGTTAGGGGATGGGCTTTGTGGCTACCATTTTGGATACAGAGCCTGGATGCCCCTAAGAGACTGAGTCTTGTTTCTAGGACCCACAGCCTGAACACCCAAACCTGTGGTAATTTTCTCCTCAGTTCCTCCCTTAATCCCTAGAGCAGGCTCTTTTTGTGTGGCTAACCAGAATTTTATGGTGAGTCCACTTACCTGGAAAAAGTGAGCAGCTCCACCCTCTGAGACAGAGGCCTTTCTGGGGCCTGGGAAGCCTGAGGGCAGCGTAGGCTTTGGGTGAGCTAGGACGTGCATGGCTGCATGGCGTGTGGCTCGTGTGACTCTCGGAGGAGAAGGGAAGGTATGACCTGAGGTCATTTCACACTGTGCTAGGTGAGGAACACTTTTGTTTTCTCCCTAATTTTAATTGTATGAGTTTTCAGATATTATTTAAGGCTGAATCATTCTTACCAAAAATGGGAGAGAAAAAAAGAAAAAAAGTCCTCAGTTACACTTCCTGGCCCCTTATGGATGTCAAGAGTTTTTCTTCACCTTTAATTAGTTTACTAATTTTTTTAGCTAAGAGATAATGGTGGAAAAAATTAATTTTCTGTCATTTCATACCACGAGGAGCTCAAATTTTAGAAAGATAGAAGTAAATATAGGTAATCACAAATCAGTGATCTAAGAGCCATTTACTTGCAAGACTGAGGGAAGTGGGGACAAAAGACAGGGGAAGCGCTTCCCAAGGCCACATGCAAAAGCTACGATTAAGCAGTGATGTATGTTGAAGCTGGGTTTTGAAAGAAAAGTAGAAGTTTGCTAGGAGGAAAACTGGAACTCAATTACTCACTGCCTGTGTGACCTTGGGCAAGTTCTGACACCTGAGAAGCTCAGTTTCCTTAGGTGTGAAATGGGAACACTAATATTACCTGCTTGTAAATGCAATTGCAGAGATTAAATGAAAAAAAAAAATAAAGCTTATGAAGGGCTTAACACAGGCCTGACATAGAAAAAGGCTCAGCAAACACTTATTGAGTACATGCACAAATGAATGTGTGCATGGGTGTGCCATGATGAAAGGTCATGGCAAAGCCAGTAAGAGAGGGACACTGCCTGATTGTTGTCTGGTTGATTGACTCTTATTCAGTACACTTAATTAAAAAATATAAATTATGAAGAACCCCTGACATGCATCTCTTTATTTCAAGGTCAAAATTAAAGAAGGCTAACATTCTCTATTGTCCTCTATTTTATTTTTTATTTTATGAATAAGCATTGGGGTTTCAAGTGGATCAGTTTGGGGACAGGTATGGATGTGGTAGCCAGTGGGTCTCAGTAAAATCTGAAAGATGTTGAGTGTGAGCTGCAGAACTTCTAGTGGCTTTAAGGCACAAGCTATTAATGACAGAATTATTCACTGAGAGGGAATAACTGTTAGCAATAATTACTCCTAAAGGTTCGGCTAAGAAAAGGATAATGAATGACCCAGCCACAGGCCTAGAGGGAAGACCTGGGTCTAATATGAGATTGACTGATGTCCGAATTCCAAATCTGCAACCTACACCTTCCTGAACTTCGATTTTTTAAACTTGTTAAATACATTGCAGGTGTGTAGAATTATTTTATGTTTATTCAGTGAATACTCATTGAAGGTCCACCATATGCCAGTGTTGGAGATATAATGATGATGAAAACTGCACAGTCCCCATCCATGTGATAGTTTGGATTCAAGAGGCATGACAGATATTAAACAGATCACAAAATTAATGTTTAAGGACCAACTGTGCTAAGTCCCAAGAAGGAACACAGTACTGGAGAGGTTGTGAAAGTAGAAGAATGAATTTAAATTGGAGAGTGAGATTCACACTGAGACCTGGAAGATGATATATTAGGTTTCTTTGGCTGCTATAGCAAATACTACAAACTTAGTGACTTAAAACAACACAGATTAATTATCTTGCAGTTCTGACGGTTAGAAGTCCAGCATGGATTTCACTGGGATAAAGTTAAGGTATTGGCAGGGCTGAGTTCTTTCTGGAGCCCCTGAGCCTCCAGAACCTGTTTTCTTGCTTTTTTCCAGCTTTTGGAGTCTACCTACATTCCTTGGTTCATGGTCCATTTATTCTATCTTCAAAGCCCTCAAAATTGTGTATCTCTGATCATTTTAGTCATATCTCTTTCTGAGGCTCACTCTGTCTACCTCTTCCACTTTTTATGACCCTTTGATTACATTGGTCTCATTTGGATAATCCAGGATAATCTTCCTATTTTAAAGTCAACTAATTAGCAACCTTAATTCCACCTTTAATCTTAATTCCCCTTTGTCATATAACCTATCTGTGAGGATTAAGTCTGTGAACATTTTTGGGAAGGTCATTATTTTGCCTAGATGAATAGGCATGAGCCTGGGGAAGTTGGTCAGGGGTGGAGGGAAGATATCACAAGCAGAAGACCTTGAGTCAGGCTTCTGTTGAATTCATGAAAAAGAAGAATGTGTCTGAAGGGGAGAGCAGAGCCAGCTAAGGAGGTAGATGGAGCTAGATTTTGCAGGGCCTTTTTTGCCTTGTTAAAGATTTGGGACTTTTATCTGAATGCAGTAAGAATCCATCAGAGTGTTGAGTATGGCATGGCATCATGGGATGGCATTTAAGAATCACTCTGCATTCTTGGAGGAGAGTTGATGGAGAAGGCCAGCAATGAGACTCCTGTCCTTACCAGAGGAAGAGATTTATGAGATTCATTAGCACAGGGCTTGCAATTAGTAGGAAGTCTCCTGTCTGTAGTTCTTCTCTACAACCAAGGTATTTGCTAGCATCTTTCTCAGCAACATTCATTATTTTTGCCCATTCTACTTCCTCTTAAAGACTCTCTTCTTTTACAACACCTACTTTTGCTCTTTTTGCCAACCTCTAATATCCTTTATGATCTGGCTCAAGATTCACGCCTTCCAAGAAGCCATCAGCAACTGGCTTTATTCTACATCAGTCACTGCCTTTGCTCTCTGAACATACTGAATGACTTAACTGTCATACTCACCATATTCCTCCTTCCAGGGTCTACTCCAGCACCCCACAATGGCTTCTGTCCTGCCTAAATTCCCAACCCACCATGACTGAGACAGATTTCACTGACCAGATAGTTAAACCTTCAATTTTGAACAATCAGGTGCCAGGATCTTCCTCCATCTACTGTGGCCCTGATACCTATGTTGCAGCTGTGAGCTGATGAAGTATAATGTCCCACTGGTGAGTCCTTAGATCTCTGTATTAGTCTGGACAGGCTACGTTTTGCTGCAATAACAAACAGCTTGTGTATTGCAATGATTTATAAGAACAAAGGTTTATTTCTTGCTCACACTATCTGCCCATTACTGGTCACTTATGGGCTCTGTTCATTTATCATTGTCCTCATTCTGAAACTTGGGCTAATGGAACCTGGCCTTTTTGTAGAACATTGTCTTCTATCATGGCTTATGACATGCATCAGTTTTAAATCTCTGGCTTCAAAGTGATAAATACATTTTTTACTTACAACTGTAGCCAAAAGAAACCTGAATTCAAGGAGACTGAGAAGAAACACAGAAGGCTAGAAAGTGCAACCTTATCACGTGTTGGAAAAGGGAGAGCTAGAACATTTGACAAACAACACGAATGACTAGTATTTTCATTCTGGTCTCAGGATCAGGACTCAACCCAAATTCCATGGTGCCTCAGATCTGATAATCAAATTATGATACCAGAGGTTACAAGCCTAAGCCCTGTCTGTGTGACTCAGTTTTTATACCTGACTTTTTCCTGGGTTTCCCTTTGAGTCCTATTTTAGTAATCACTTTGTTCTCCTCCATTCTCCAACAGGGCTGGAAGCCTTGTTTTGTCCTTTTCCAGTTTCCGTTCCTATAGGCTGGAGGCTCATCTATTCTGATGCTAGAGCCCTACTCCCTATAGGCAGACTGTGACGTAGATGTCAATGAATGCCTGGACTCCTGAGGATTGTCTAATTGAATTGCACCTGTAGAAGGCCTTGATATTTTTGGTTGGTTTCTCTCATGCTGATCATTTGCTTGAACCCTGGGCAGAGGTTCCGAGTCTGCAAAAATAATAAACTTTGCCTTCTCCCTGAGAATTTTCAGCCTGTGATGTAATTTAGGTCTGAGTTCCAGCAGCCTCTTGCTAGTGGGCAGGCAAGTTTTTGGGCATTACCACCACCCCTTTCTTGCTGTCAATAAACAATCATATTGTCTTAATATATTGAGATGTGTTGGCAGAGTCTCTGGTTGCTTTCTGATCTTTTTCCTATCCATAAGAGATTAAGATTCTAAATATATCTTCATTTCCCCCATTTCCCAATTTTTTTTTTTTTTCTCAGCATCTAATGTGACACAGTGAATGTGCTAGGAGTTTAATAACTACTTCTTGGGTAAATGAATGGGGAGCCACAAACTTACCTTAGAACTCATAAAATATCACTAAATGCTTTGGTATTTCATCAGAAAAATGGGGTAATGACATTTAATTCAGGAAGACATTAGGAGGATTAGATATGATCAGTGTGGTATGCTCTGGAAGAGGCATTCCTTCACAAGAAATGGCAATAACATTATTAATAAGATGTGGCTGAGTCAGATGCCGCCCAGGTGTAGAACAGCAGCCAGTTAGTGTGCCCCAGTGACATTCTTCAACAAGGGATGAAACTTTTATTTTCCTACTTCTCACACACACCTGAACTGCCCTCTTGTAGCCTTTTCCTTAAGTCAAGGAAAAGTAACCCTTAATTTATTTAAGGCACATTTTTTGGTGGTCATTGGAGGGGTAGGACAGAGATGATTTGTTGAACAAATTTTCAGATAGTTTTGGTTTTTTCAGTCTTCCACTTGATCATTTTTTCACATAGTCATTTTACTGGTTTGATTTTTACTTGACATTTAACTTCCACGCATTTTGAACAATTATCTTTTCAAGTTTAATTGACAGGAAATGTAAATCTGAATTCTGTACTGAAGCCTTTGAAATATGGTATCCATTTATTTCATTACCATTTGATCACTCAACACAATATGATGAATTATAATAATGGCCCTGGCATCAAAAAATTGCTAAAGATGATAGACGTGGAGATGTCATATTGATTCTCATCACATTAAAAGACCAAAGCAGGGACACAGAGATGTTTTGATTACTATCAGTTCATGGTGAAATCTCAGCCACAGAAATGTTTGATGTGGGTAACATGATAAATAAATCAATTTCATTGTAATCTTTAGGACTATAGTGTGCTTCATTTTATAATGCTAGATGACATATTAACAGACTCTACATTCCTTTGGCTAAAAAAAGAAACCCTGTTATTGAAGGACTGTCAACTATTCTTAATTAATGTAGGCTTCCAAATTTTTTGGCTTAAAATTCTGCAGATATGAAAAGCTTTTGTAGGAGATATTCAGCATACCAATGAGAGATATCTGTATTCTCTTTGCACATTGTAATAATCCAGGTGCACTCTACTCTAGTGGTTGGCCTGTGATGTAAGATGTAATAAATGAACAAAATATGTTCTTTGAAAAAATAGTGAAAGTTTGAATTTTCCACTGAAAATTTAAGAACATGATAATTTACATTTTCATTCTTACTTTGGCTCTTGCAATGGCTAATCGATTCATGATGGTGACGGAGGGACTTTGAAATTATTTTGTCAGTAACAGAATGATGTATATACTCCATATATTTCTGAAATAATGATTTACATTGGTGGAATTCCACATACTCGATGGTTATGAAACTCCAGTGCAAAATTTAAATATTTGTATCTCAGTATTACAATGTTATGTTAAATTTTAAAATAGTTCAACTAAAGTATATATTCTAATCAACTGACATATTTGTTCACTAGTGATATGAATTGATTTTTAAGTCAGTGGAGTCAGTGGCTTATTGAGTGGTATTGTTTAGTACTAGTGAATCTTCCAACTCACGTAGGTTCCTTATAGCTAAGTGACCACCTGTCTTGTTTGCATGAGATACCGTTGTCTCTGAAATTACTACTAGTGTTTCCTTTTGCTTTCAAAAGGAAATTTTGAAATGGATGGTAAAGTACATGAACACTCTACCTATACAGTCCTGGAAGCCATTGTTTTGGACTCTTTTTTGGACCAAATCTCTTCCCTAGATTTTTCATGCCTTTTTTGTAGTATAGGCCCCAGGGCTGTTTTTCTTTGCTTCAGTGGATTCCAATGGAAACGTTTTGCTGAAGAATGCATTTATAAAAGAATTTTAGAAATGATCAAAAAATTTTAAAATACATAATCTTCGCTCTTTTTCACCATTGAACACTCAGCACTTTGCACAATGCTTGGCTATCGTAGAGACTCCATAATTACTTGTTGAAGAATAAACAATTTAAAACTTAACCATTTTTTATTTAAGAAAATTCAAGTTTCTTCACACACACACTTTTCTTCCCAAAGATACTAAGCTACTGCATGATTACTCTTGGAATCATTGCTTAGTAAAATATTTCTCAAACATTGTTTGAATAAAGATTACTTGGCATTTGGACAAACAGGACCAAAAGTCAGACTCCCAGATCCTGCCCCTGAGAGTCTGGTTTTGTCTCAGATAATGCCAGATAAATAATAGGCATTCCATCTAGGATCCTCTCCAACTCCAAGTCTTTGAAATCTTTGTCTTACTTTAATTTCAAAAGGATATTTCCTTGACTTCCTACTAAGTTGTCCATCTTTCTACCATGTCACTGCTGATAATGTAGTTGTGGAGAAGATATTAGACTGCATAAAAGCCAGGTTCCACCACATAACTGGCTTTTTACCACTTCCTCTCTCTGGACACAAATTTCCTCCACCTTAAAATGACATGGCTGAGCTACAAGATCTCTCGGATCTCTTGCAACTCTGTTATCAGGTGGTTCTTATCTTTGAAGCCTGATAGATGTCTGATCATGAGACATTTTCCACAAAAGAGTACAACTACTTTGTCTTTGTTGCTTCATTTGCAAGAAATAATCTCTGGATTAATTATTACTTAAGAGATATTTTTAGTCTTTTAGGTTATTAAGCACCATTCTTCACCAACAACTTTCTGCATCAATTTTTTTTCAGATTCCCTAGATACGTGTATTGGGAGGTGATTGGTATTTTTTTTTTCATTTCAGAGGTTAAAAATAATCTCTTAACTTTTGCCAATTGTCTTTTAGATCCTGCCAAAGATATTTCTACAGATAAGAAAAAAGCCTTTGCCTTGGAGTATAATTTGCAAAAGTTGAAAGAGCCTTGTTTGCTCACATACCCTGTTATTAAATCATAAGCACAATCAGAAGTAATTGCTTGGGTGGCCATGCCAATTGGAGCCCACAAGATGGGAAGAAAAAGGGACCCTGGTGAATACATGTGCAGAGATTTGTTCATCAGATTAACTATCTTGTGGTGTATTGAGGCTTGAGGAAGGCTAAGCCATGTCATATTAATTTTTTTCAGAAGCAGAGAGAGAGAGAGGGAGAGAGAGAATAGACTGGAAAAGTTGTAGAGCATGGAAAGGTCCCCAGGAAGGTCAAGACTTGATGAGCAGTGGGTGGTGAGCCTCTAAAAGTTGTTTCCTCTGAAAGTTTTTTCCTCTTATTGGAGGAAAAGACAATCACATGTGGTTAGAAAAGAAGCAACAGAAACATTCACTTATACCAGAATTCTGTTCCTGTCTTGGGCTGTTCTTGAGGTCAGAAGGAAGAGTCCTGAGAAGTGATGTGACAGGGGAGAGAAGGAAGAAATGTATCTGACTGCAGTTTCTTTCTACTAAGCAGGCTGCTTGGGGAGGAGTATTGAGAGTGTAGTCACAGAGGTGGCATTGATTTTCTTGTGCCTTTACGTGATTACTTAACACCGCAGGTGTTAAGGTGGGTGGATCCCATGTAAAGAATAATTATTTATTATTTAGTCTAATCCACACTGGCACTGATGTCTCATAGTTGATTTACTATTAATCAACTCAATTATTTCTCAAGATTTTAGGTATAAAGGGCAATGAAGAGGCTGGAAAACGTTTCTGGAGTTAAGCTTGTGATATTTGCAGTTCAAGAATGGACAGAAAACATGGGAAATACATAGTGAACATTGAACACTCTGGAAACCAGCCAGTGAGTATTGGTGGCACCACTGTGATATATTCTCACAGTCCAGAGTCTTATTTTCAATATTTATGAAACTCTAATTTTTAAAAATTATAACATAGTTTTTCCCAAAATGGAATTCTTAAAATTTTACATGGAAGCCAATTTCTAGCTGCTCTATTACAACTTATTAATTAGAAAACTTGTATTTTTTTCTGCATGTCAATACATGCATAGCAGAGAAACTTATTTTAAATAATCACTGATCTAAGACATCAGCAATTTTGGGGGGTAACAATTTAATGATATGTTTAATACTTTACAGTTATTATAATTTAAGCATAAGACAACAAATGTGGGTTTGATTGCATTAGCAAATTAAACTTTTAAAATGTGATGTGTAGATTTTTGTGTTAACTGCCAAGATTGTTAGTGTAATATCTAGATTTGTCAGAACCCAGATATTTCTACATATCTTTGGGAGTCAGAAGTGAATCTTGTAAGTAAAGTTGAGGCCTAGGAAGCAAATTATCTAGCAAATCCTTTAGACTGGCCTCTACTTAAGTACTTATGAATTTCTTTTTTGGTAAAGAATTGTATTTAGGTAATATTTTAGAGTTCAATTACATACAACCTTGTTTATTGTTTAGGTTTTTAGAAGAAACAATTTAGCTCTGTATGTTTTATGATTGCATTTTATATAACTCTTCATGTCTAACTAGAGTCCTTGATATTGGAAACAGAAATGGAAATGTGCTGAATGAAATCAGTGTAAGTTTGAATGGATAGTTATGTTTTGTGAGGAAAAATATTTTTCTCTCCATGAACTAACAAGGAAGTTATAAGGCAGATAAATTTTTCCCTTGATTCTGGATCAGGACCCCTCTACCCTGAAGACGGTCTTCATGGTCTGTCTAGCCCTGCAAATCTGTCACTGTGTCTTCACAGTGTCAACATACTCAAATAAAAAGATTTCTTTGGTAATAGTAAGGAATCAGTTAGTCATCTTGAGTGTTTTCCTAAACAATGCTGTTTTCAAGTAAAGGTTACATATTTTAACACTGACTGAATATTTTACTTACATGTGTATACTTGGACATAGTGATAGAAAAAAATTTTTTTTCATTAAGGGCCATTTTGGTCAATGGATTGAATAGAAATTGAAGGCCACATAAAAATAAAATGTAGGAGTTTGTTTTTCTCTCTTAGGAAACAAAAATTGGTAAATTAATCTCTTTAAATCTGTGAATAGGGAATTTAAAATTTTACTCTGTGAGTATAGCTAATGCATATCAGATGCATGATGGAGATTATTGGCTGCTACCAAAAGCTAATTAAGTATAATTCACAGCTCCCTAACTGATCAATTTCTAACTTTAGAGACAACTTTTAACTTTAATTTTTAACTTTAGAGACTGACAGGAGAAACTGAGATAGCACGAATTATATTACCCCCAAAGCTCCACTGGGGTGTGTTCTTCATTCTTGGTACAGGTACCCACTATCTCCTTTCCTTTAAAGAATTTAAAAGAAATTCAGGCAAGCTGGTTTGGAAAGTGAGGTTTTACTTAATTATATAAGTTCAACAACAACAAAATCTAAGTTCATCACCCTCAGTATACTAAATTGCTGAAGAATAAGTGAAGCTTTTATAAAAGATAAATCTTTGTTATTTTTCTCAAAGTTTCTGATTGAAAAACAGATGGAATTTTGTTAAAGTACCTGTGTATATCAGATTTTATCTTATTCGATATCACTGAATAGCTACTAAAAAATGTTCTGGCTTGCTATTGTACTGTAAAAAAAATTAGACTCTGGCTAAGTCTTTACACCCAGATATATTCCTTCTTGACTGTATTTAATCACAATTAAACTCTCTTTTATTCTTATGTATAGTCTGTCACTGAGTAGTGTCTGCATACACATATGGTTTGATTGTTTCAATAGAATTTAGAGATTAATTGATCTGTCAGTAGTTTTTTAAAAATCCATTTAGGATGGGGTATTTAATCAAGAAGGTCAAGAGAGTATATTTATTTTATTTATTTATTTATATTTTATATATTTTATTTTTTGAGATGGAGTTTCACTCTTGTTGCCCAGGCTGGAGTGCAATGGTGCTATCTCAGCTCACTGCAACCTCCACCTCCCAGGTTTAAGAGATTCTTCTGCCTCAGTCTCCCAAGTAGCTAGGATTACAGGTGCATGTCACCACACCCAGCTAATTGTTGTAGTTTGGGTAGAGACAGGGTTTCACCATGTTGACCAGGCTGTTCTCAAACTGTTGACCTCTGGCGATCCACCTGCCTCAGCCTCCCAAAGTGCTGGGATTACAGGCGTGAGCCACTGCACCTGGCCAGGAGAGTATATTTAAATAATATTCTTACTGTTGTATTAGAAAAAAAGTTCTAGATAATTGTATAATATTTTTCAATTGTAACAAATTTACATGGACCAATTTGCAGTCCCTTGAATATCTAACACAGATTATTCTCCTTTTTCTTAAAACTGTTTCTGAGATTGTTTTTTCTTTCAACCACCCTTTAAGAAAAACCTAACCCCCCAAATGTTTCACATTTGAACCGACATTTTTAATGCATTTAGTTTAAAAAAATTTTAAGTAGGCACCCATGTACCAAACACAGATGGAGTCTTCTTTTTCTTTTTTTTTGGAAACAGAGTCTCACTCTGCCACCCAGGCTGGAGTGCAGTGGCGCGAACTCGGCTCACTGCAACCTCTGCATCCCATGTTCAAGTGATTCCCGTTCCTCAGCCTCTGGAGTAGCTGGGATTACAGGTGTCCGCCACCACATCTGACTAATTTTTATATTTTTAGTAGGGATGGCATTTCACCATGTTAGCCAGGCTGATCTTGAACTCCTGACCTCAGGTGATCCACCCACCTCAGCCTCCCAAAGTGCTGGGATTACAGGCATGAGCCACTGCGCCCGGCCATGGGTTTTTCTAAAGGAGGGAGTGGAGACTTTCTTACTCTCTGATACTACAAGATATTCAGGCTCATCTTATATATTTCCTGCTCTAGCACTAGAATCAGCCATTTCTCCAAGGATCCCTGGGTCCTTTTATTGGAAATGGTATTTAAAAACCAAGATTTGGGTGCTGGGTGTGCTTGTTGCTACTAGCATTTTGTTGATTCTGGGTCCTCTCAGCTGACAAAGCAAGGAGACATATGTGAGTGTACTAACCCATGCATATAAACATATCTATAAATATTTCTATATGTAACTATCAATGTTGCTATTAAGCTAAACATGAGTTTATATTGATATCTCCAACTATAATTCATCCAGTCTCCAACTGTAATGATCCATGGATCATTCTAGCCTCCACTGATGAAAAAAGCCAAACTCTAAAATATTTGAAAAGGTTTCTTATGAGCCAAATATGAGTGACCATGGCCTGTGACATGGCCTCAAGAAGTCCAGAGAACATGTGCCCAAGGTGGTTGTGTTATAGCTTTTGGTTTTATACATTTTCTGGCATCAGAAGTTACAGGCAAAGATGTAAATGAATACATGTAAGGTATACATTGTTTTGGCCTGGAAAGTCAGGGCATCTCAAAGTGGGTGGGATGGGGGAGCAGTAGACACACTGGTCATAGGTGGATTCAAAGGTTTCCTGATTGGCAATTGGTTGAAAGCGTTGATCTTTGCCTAAAGAGTGGAAATCAGCAGAAAGAAAGCTTGAGTTAAGATAAGGAAGATTGTGGGAGCCAAGATTCTTCTTATGTAGATGAAGCTTCCAGGTGGCAGGCTTTAGAGAGAATAGATGGTAAATGACTCTTACCTGACTTTAAAAGCTGTCAGGCTCAGTTAAATCTCTCCTGAATCAGGAAAACACCTGGAAAAGGAAGGGGATTTTTCTACAGAGCACAAATTTCCCCCACAAGAGATGGCTTTGCAGGGCCATTTCAAAATATGTCAAAGAAATATATTTTGGGGTAAAATTCTTGTATTTCCATCAGTGCCTGCTGTCATGTGATGCTAAACCAAGGTCAGGTTGGAGCTGGGTATCTCATTGCTACAAAGAGTCTGTTTTGTTAGTCTATGATCTCTATTTTAATGTTAATGCTGGTCAGTTGTGCCTAAATTCCAAAGGGAGGAGGGAACAATGAAGTATGTCTGACCTGCCCTTCCTTTTGTGGCTTGAAGTAGTTTTTCAGGGTTCTTTGGGTCCCCTGGCCAAGAGGTGAGTCTGTTCATTTGGTTGGGCAGCTTAGAATTTTACTTTTGGTTTATACTTTCTTATCTTGCTTATCCGTAAACTTCTACTCTAACACGGAGAAACCTGGCTCCCACACTGCCATCCTCCATCCGTTTGCTTAATTATTTCATTCCAGAATGCATGTATGGAACTGTTACCCTGTAGGTAACAACTTCATCAACTATGATTCAATGCTGCGTCCAGTTTTTTGCTTTTAGTGTGACAGACTCCACTTGTTCCCAAAGTTCCTTTAGTCAGCACCTTTTTACTCCATCCACTTCAGTGAAATTGTTGATTCTTACATTTGTAATATAGTCAGGTTGCTTCATCCTACTCTGCATTCCATTTTGGGATTCTCCAATGTCCTACATGATTTTCAAAAATTTTCATATATTAAGGTTCATTCATGTTGTAGCTTAGTATACTCATTATTTTCAATTTTTAAAAATTAAGGTACAGTATACTTTATGTAAATTATACATAAAGTAAACATATTTAAGTGAACAGGTTAATGAATTTTTACACATATATATGTGCATATATACATCAAACACATACCTGTGTAACCATCCCCTGTAGAGTCTTAATTAGGGAAAAGGAGTCAGGCTGGTGGAACCAAGGGAAAGCAAAAACCAAAAGCAGATAAGCTATAAGTCTGCCATTCTTCATGGTCCAGGACACACAGCTGTCCTGTGCAAATAACTTACAATCTTCCTGTGCCCAACCGATCACCAGACACCTGCAAGTTAGCTCACTGCAATCTTGGCATTATCAATACTGCATAAATCCCTCTTCAGCACACAGCGCAGGCACCATCCTACAAAATCCCCAGCAAGCCTTTATCTCCTTGCCATCAGCTCCTCTCTTGCTAACTTGCCCACTGTTTCCTTGCAACTTATTTTGCAACTTTCTCTGATAAATCTACTTTTCTTTACCTACAAGTGTTTTGATAAATTATTTTTACCACCCATGCCACTGGCCCAGATAGTCACTGATCACCTGTGACATCCCCTAGATCTAAATACAGAACATTTGCAACATCCAAGAAGACCCCCTATGCTGCTGCCAATCAGTACCCCATCCTTTCAGAGGTAACCACTCTTACTTCTGTTGCCGCATCTTAGTTTTGTGTTTTCCTGAATTCTGCATAAATGGAGTTGTACAGTACTCTTATGTGTGTGGCTTATGTTGCTCAACACCATATCTGTATCACTGGTTTCTTCTTTATAACTGTAAAATATTTCATTTGCATAAACAAACCATAATTTATTTATCCATTTTCCTGTTGATGAACGGTTGAGTTGTTTTCATTTTTTGATGTTATGGATCAAGCTTCTGTGAACTTGTTGCACCCAAGCGAGTTAGAGAAACGCCACACTTTGAGAAGAAATTGAGAGTCCTTTATTTAGCCGGCGACCGAGAGGCAGCTAACGCTCAAAATTCTCTCGGCCATGAGGAAGGGGCTTGATTTTCTTTTATTCTTTGGTTTAGGTAGGGGAGGGGGGTTCAGATGCAATAATTCTACAGAGGTAAAACATGCAAAAAAATTAAAAAGGACAAATGGCTACAGAGAAACAAACAATTTAAAAGACAAATGGTTACAGAGAAGCAACAGTACCAGGTGCGGGGGCTCTAAATCCTTCATAAGATGTTAGATATGGGTGCTATGCCGGACACAAACTCAAGGCTTTATGGTGTTATCTTTTGAGCAAAATCCTGGGAACTTCGTACATTGCTTGTTTTAGTACCTTATCAGTTAATTGGACTCTTTTGATATGTTGAGAATCTGCTTACACAAGTTAACTCCTTGAGGAAAAGGGGTGGGTAGGGAGTCCTTAATGTCTTGTAAATCAAGGGAGCCAGGTGGAGTTCCTCGGGCTTTCTCAGCTAAGGGAGAGTCTATTCATGTGGAAACAAGGCTAGGTGATTAAGGGAGAAAAAAGGAGAGTCTAAAAACTGGGTTAGTAAAATAAGGTTAGGCATTACAAAATTCCTTGTCCATGGCTTATGGAGCACATATACTTTCACAGCTCTTGGATGTACAGGCAGGAACACAGTGACTATGTCATATGATAGGTGCTGAGAGATGCTAGCTGTCCAGGTGTTCAATTAGGACTTTGAGCCAAATTAAAAGTAATGACTAAGCCCTTATTCACTTATTGCAATAGTATAAGCAAGAGGTCGAAGAGATATGGTGTCAGCCACCATAATGTTCCATTTTTTTTTTTCTCCACATAACAGCACTGGGCAAGAGTTAAATGGATCAGCATAGACCAGGATGACCCAATTGCCAAGGGACCACTGAACAAAGGGCTTCTGCCATTTTATGGACTGGGAGATAGAGAAAGAGGAAGAAGGCCTAGAAGTGGGAAAGAACTGAGTACTGAGTCAGGGTGGAGAAAATTGTCTTCAAGGCCCCTGTTAAGGAGATGTCCACACAAGTGCTTGAACAGTATCTCCCCTGAGGCAACCCTTGTTTCTAACCCCTCACCAAACAAGGAAGGCTCCAGATGGAAGTTCCTAGGCAAGGAATGAAGATATGCTCAACAGCATGATTGCCCAGGGTGGCATGGGGGAAGGGAAGGCTGAATTCCTGACTGCAGGTTCCTTCATAGACTGCAGTGCACAAATGCAATGCAGCTTCCTGACTGCAGCTTCCTCCAGATACTGCAATGCACAGCTGCACCAAATCTTCAGGGAGGGCCCTTTCCTCTTTGAGGCTTTCCAGGTGAAGCCTTTGCAGTGGCCTATGGTTACATCAGAAAGGTCACACATAGAATTTTGGCCTGGAGCCAGACATCTGAATAGGTAGTAAATGTTTTACATTTTTTCCCATTCTTTTCTGCCTATAGCCTTTCCTGAGTCCAAGAAACCATGAAGCTCACAATTCAGCATGTCAATTCTCTACATCAACTGAAATAACTGGTGATGTTGGTACTAATTTAATTGGTGCCTGCACCAGCCCAGCGACCCTTGAACACTCAGAATTTCCAAACAGAGAATTCCAACATTATCAGGTAATACTTGGGACAACAATGTTTTCTGGATTAAGATATAATCCACATGAAAATACTCTTGATCCAATATTTGGAGGAAGAACATTCGGTCAATTAACATTAACATTTTTCTTTTGAGAAATCCTTTGAAAATGTGAAGTCACTGAGAGGGAATATAGGAGAGGTAGAAGATTTATGGGGCTGTTTGTTTGCTTAAGGAGTTAATGATCTTAATAGAAAGACAAAAACATATAAGGAGTTTAGAGAGGGCCAAAGAAAACAAAAATTAGAGGCTTTTATTTTTGAAGTACTGAATAGGTAGCAACATAACAAATACATTGGCAGTGAATGACATTGTCTGTAAACCTTGCTCAGGTGGAAGATGACGTCATGTGTTGAGGTCCAGGCCCTAATCTGTGGATGATCTGTCTCACTCTGCCTTCCTGCATGCCTCTGAATCTAACTGTGGGCCTTCCTGTAGCCCTCCTGGCTCTGATCTCATATGTTTTCAACCTTGACTTAGATGGTTTATGTACCCTGGGAGGTATAAAGAGTTTCTAAGAAGATATTTATTATTTTTTAATTTGGAAAGATATATTCATGTGAATGAGAAAGCATGAGAGATCAGCGGAAATTTCTTTGAACATTAAGGAAACAAAAGTACAAGGCTTTTCCTAATAAAAGCTAAAATTTGGGCCCAGCGTTTGTTATTTAAAATAGTTTTTATCTTCCTGTTTTATGCTCAATGGGTTCTTCTTGCCCACTGCTTAGATAGAACAAATTTGTCAAGACAGGGGGATTGCAATAAAGAGTTTTACACACTTAGAGCTGGCTAAATGGGAGGCCAGAGTTTTATTATTACTCATATCCGCCTCCCCCCAGATTTGGAGGCTAGAGTTTTTCAAACATAGTTTGGGAGAAGGAGAGGTGGCTAGGGAATGGGTGCTACTGACTGGTTGGGGATGGAATCATAGGAGTGTGGGAAATAGTCCTCATGGCCACTGAAGTTGATTCTGGGTGGGGCCACAGGACGAGTTGGGGCCACCAGTCATCAGAAATGCAAAAACCTGAAAAGGAATCTCAAAAGACCAATGTTAGGTGCTACAATAGTGAAGGAATCTGCAGGAGTAATTGGGGAAGTTGTAAATCTTGTGATCTCCAGAATAATGATAGGTAATCATTTATGTCTACACCTGATCAGAATTCAGGCTCCTCTCATCCTCCTAACCTGGTGGTCTTTCATTAGCTTTACAAAGGCAGTTTAGTTTTGGGGAAGGGCTATTATGCCTAGGAACAAGTAAGGACAGTTTGGAGATTAAAGTCAAGATGAGGGTTGATTAGATCAGATATCTTTCACCATCATAATTTTCTCACTGTTATAATTTTTGCAAAGTTGGTTTCATTTATACATTGTTTCAATGAAGTAATCTATTTCAAAATCTACTACAAAGCTGTAGTAATCAAAACAGGATGGTATTGGCACTAAAAAACCAGACCAATTGAAGAGGACAGAGTCCAGAAATAAATCCACACATTAATGATCGATTGGTTTTTCAACAAAGATGTGAAGAACACACAATGAAGAACAGTCTTTTCAAAAATGGTGTTGGGAAAACTAAATATCCACCTGGAGAAGAGGGAAATTGGACTCTGATCACTCATCATATACCAATATCAACACAAAATGGCAAAACACTCAAGTGTAAGACTTGAAACTATAATGCTACTAGAAGAAAACGTATAAAAAGGATGAACAATGGCATTAATTTTTCATAAAATATTTATTTTCATCCTTAGTAATTTTATTTAAATCCGTTCCAGGTGACACGGAATTTCTTCTGTGACTGGTCTCTATGGAAAACCTTTCTGGCTTGTCTCTTAGCCTGTGTGATAACGACAGCAATTGGAGTACTCATAGTATCCCTGGTATATAATGGGAAAAATAATAATGCCTCCATTGTTATCCAATTTCCCCAAAGCCATGGAACACCCTCATCTGCCACTGGAATAACCTCATCTATAGTTTCTCAACCTACTGTTGCCACTACTATAATAAATTCTACCACAAAATCCACTTCACCTAAACCTACTATTATAAGAACCACTGCAAGCACTTCTATAGAACCTACCAGCACAATGACCTCCAATAATACTTCAGCTGCAACTACAATATCACCAGCCACCACTTCAGCTGAAGCCACAGCCACAGCAACAGCAGGAATTTCCACAGAAGCTACAACCAAAACAGCCACCACTAACACTTCCACTGAATACACATCCGCAACAACAATGAGCAATGCAACTGAACAGTCCACCACAACAACTGCAGGCACTTCCACCGAGTCTACAATCACAACAGCCACCACTGCCACCTCTACTGAACCCACAACCACAACAACAGCCAGTAGTGCAACTGAACAGTCTGCCACCACAACTGTAGGCACTTCCACTGAGACTACAACCACAACAGCCACCACTACCACGTCTACTGAATCCACAACCACACCAGTCAGCACTGCAACTGAACAGTCTGCCACCACAACTGCTGGCACTTCCACTGAGATAACAGCCACAACAGCCACCACCACAACCTCTACTGACTCCACAGCCACAACAACAGCCAGCACTGCAACTGAAAAGGATGCCACTACAAATGCAGGCACGTCCACTGAGGCTACATCCACCACAGCCACCACTACCACTTCTGCTGAACCCACGACAACCACAGCAAGCACAGCAACTGAACAGTCTGCCACCACAACTGCTGGCACTTCCATTGAGACTGCAACCACAACAGCCACCACTGCCACCTCTACTAAACCCACAACCACAACAACAGCCAGCACTGCAACTGAACAATCTGCCGCCACAACTGCTGGCACTTCCACTGAGGTTACAACTACAACAGCCACCACTACCACTTCTACTGAATACAGAATGACAACCACAGCAAGCACTGCAACTGAACAGCCTGCCACCACAACTCCAGGCACTTCCACTGAGGCTACAACCACAGCAACCACCACAACCACTTCTACTGAGCCCACAACCAAAATGACAGCCAGCATTGCAACTGAACAGTCTGCCACCACAACTGCAGGCACTTCCACTGAGGCTACAACCCCATCAGCCACCACTACCACCTCTAATGAACCCACAACCACAACAGCCAGTACTGCATCTGAACAGTCTGCCACCACAACTACTGACACTTCCGCTGAGGCTACATCCACAACAGCCACCACTACCACATCTACTGAACCCACAATGACAACCACAGCAAGCACTGCAACTGAACAGTCTGCCACCACAACTGCAGCCACTGCTACTGAGACTACATCCATAACAGCCACCACTGCCACCTCTACTGAACCCACAACCACAACAGCAGCTAGCACTGTGACTGAACAGTCTGCCACAAGAACTGGAGGTACTTCCACTGGAGTTACAATCACAGCAGACACCACTGCCATGTCTACTGAACCCAGCACTACAACAACCGGCACTGCCAGTGAACAGTCTGCCACCACGACTGCAGGCACTTCCATTGAGGCAACAACCACAACAGCTACCACTACCACCTCTACTGAACCCAACACCACCACAACAGCCAGCACTGTAACTGAACAGTCTGCCACCACAACTGCAGGCACTTCCACTGAGACAAAAGCCACAACAGCCACCACTACCACTTCTACTGAACCCACAATGACAATCTCAGCAAGCACTGCAACTGAACAGCCTGCCACTGCAACTGCAGCCATGGCCACTGAGACTACAACTACAACAGCTACCACTGCCACCTCTACTGAACCCA